>NW_014040929.1:0-202694 GCF_000001405.40 Homo sapiens
TTGGACCAGAAAAAAAAAAAAAAAAAAAAAATATATATATATATATATATATATATATATATATATATATATAATCACGGGCGTCACTAGGACAACGGGTGAAATTTTTTGTTGTTGTTGTTGTTGTTTTCTGAGACAGAGTCTCGCTCTGTCACCCAGGCTGGAGTGCAGTGGCGTAATCTCGGCTCACTGCAACCTCCACCTCTCCGATTCAAGTGATTCTCCTGCCTCAGCCTCCCAGCTGGGATTACAGGCACGTGCCACCACACCCAGCTAATTTTTGTATTTTTACTAGAGGTGGGGTTTCTCCATGTTGGCCAGGCCCATCTCCAACTCCTGACCTCAGGTAATCTGCCCACTTCAGCCTCCCAAAGTGCTGGGATGACAGGCGTGAGCCACCACACCTGGCCAACTGGTGAAATTGAGTAGGGGTATGAATTAGAAGGTTGTGATGTTTCAGTGTTGTTTTCTTGATTTTGACAGCTGTGCTGTGGTTTGTAACATTATGTCCTTGCTTTGATTCAGGAAACATACACTGAAGTATTTTAGGGGTAAATGGGCATCACGTCTGCAATTCATTCCCAAATATTCATTAAAAAATCACACACACACACACACACACACACACACACACACATATACTTGTATGTGTGGTGTGTGCGCATAAGAAAGAGAAGAGGCCGGGCATGGTGGCACATGCCTGTAATCCCAGCTACTCGGGAGGCTGAGGCAGGAGGAGTGCTTGAACCCAGGAGTGGGAGGTTGTGGTGAGCTGAGATTATGCCATTGCACTCCAGCCTGGGCAACAAGAGCGAAACTCTGTCTCAAGAAAAGAAAAAAAAAAGAATAATAAGGCAAATGCGGTTAAAAAGATTAACATCTGGCCAGGTACAGTGGCTCACGCCTGTAATCCCAGCACTTTGGGAGGCAGAGGTGGGTGGATCACCTGAGGTCAAGAGTTCGAGACCAGCCTAACCACCATGATGAAAGCCCACATCTACTAAAAAAACAAAAAAATTAGCTGGGCGTGGTGGTGTGCAACTGTAGTCCCAGCTACTCAGGAGGTTGAGACAGGAGACTTGCCTGAACCCGGGAGGCAGAGGTTGCAGTGAGTGGAGATCCACTGCACTCCAGCCTGGGCCACACAGCAAGACTCCATCTCAAAAAAAAAAAAAAAAAAAGATCTGGTTAATCTGGATAAAAGGGATTTTTGCAACTTCTCTGGGAGTGTGAGTTTTAAATTATGTCAAAATAGTTAAAATAGTTATTTTTAATAGTTAAAAATTTTTAATAAGATAAAAATCTAAAATAAAAATGCAGCCAGGGCTGGGCACGGTGGCTCATGCCTGTAGTCCCAGCACTTTGGGAGGCCGAGGCGGGCAGATCACCTGAGATCAGGGGTTCAAGAGCAGCCTGGACAACATGGCGAAAGCCTGTCTCTACTAAAAATACAAAAATTAGCCGGGCACAGTGGCACATGCCTGTAATCCCAGTTACTCGGGAGGCTGAGGCAGGAGAATCGCGTGAACCCAGTGGGTGGAGGTTGTGGTGAGCTGAAATCACGCCACCGCATTCCAGGCTGGGCAACAGAGCAAGAATCCGTCTCAAAAAAAAAAAAAAAATGCAGCCAGGTGTGGTGGCTCATGCCAGTAATCCTAACATTTTGGGAGGCCAAGGTAGGAAGATTGCTTGAGGCCAGCAGTTCAAGGACAGCCAGGGCAACATGGCAAGACCCCGTCTCTACAAAAAAATTTTAAAAATTAGCCAGTTGTGGTGGTGTATGCCTGTGGACCTAGCTACTTGGGAGGCTGAGGTGGGAGGATCAGTTGAGCTCAGAAGGTCAAGACTGCAGTGAGCTGTGTGTGTAACACTGCACTTCAGCCTGCGCAACAGAATGAGACCTTGTCTCAAAAATGAAATAAAATTAAGGCCAGGTGCAGTGGCTCACTCCTGTAATCCCAGAACTTTGGGAGGCCAAGGCAGCTGGATCACCTGAGGTCAGTAGTTTGAGACCAGCCTGGCTAACAAGGCGAAACCCCGTCTCTACTAAAAATACAAAAAATAGCCAAATGTGGTGGTACACACCTGTAAACCCAGCTACTTGGGAGGCTGAAGCATGAGAATCACTTGAACCTGGGAGGCAGAGGTTGCAGTGAGCTGAGATTGTGCCACTGCACTCCAGCCTGGGCAACACAGCGAGACTCTGTGTCAAAAATAAATTTTAAAAAAATTTTATAAATAAAAGAATTAAAATTAAAAAATAAAAGGATTGGCCAGGTGCAGTGGCTCATGCCTATAATCCCAGCACTTTGGGAGGCCGAGGCAGGTGGATCACCGAGGTCAGGAGTTCGAGACCAGCCTGGCCAACATGGTGAAATGCCATCTCTACTAAAAAATATAGTATTAGCCGGGTGTGGTGGCACATGCCTGTAATCCCAGCTACTTGGGAGGCTGAGGCAAGAGAATCGCTTGAACCTGGGAGGCAGAGGTTGCAGTGAACCAAGATCACACCATTGCACTCCAGCCTGGGCAACAAAAGCAAAACTCCATCTCAATAAATAAATAAATAAATAAATAAATAAAAGAATTGCTGGGCATGGTGGCACATGCCGGTAGTTCCAGATACTCAGGAAGCTGAGGTGGGTGGATCACTTGAGCCTGGGAGGTCAAGGCTGCAGTGAGCCGTGGTCGTGCCATTGCACTCCAGCCTTTGAGTACAGTGAGAAACAAAACAAAAAGAGAGAACGCCCCCGTGGCTGCAGTGCAGAGAACAGACTCTAGGGAGCAGGGATGGAAGCAGGGTGACCAGGTGAGACACTGTCCAGGCTAGAGATACCTTGCTGGGGACACCTCAGAATGCTCTCTTCACATCAGAAGCCCCCTCCCAGGTCCTTCTGCACCCCACCCCACAACATACCTGGGGGAGCCAAGCAGACGGAAAGTGAGGGTAGGGTCTCTCAGCTCCTGTAGCAGCTAGGGAAAAAAAGTGTGTGTCTCAGTGCCTGGAAGATACCTCCACTGTCACTACGAACATGGCTCCCTTAAAGACAGCAAGGAGCTGGGCACGGTGGCTCACGCCTGTAATCCCAGCACTTTGGGAGGCCGAAGTGGGTGGATCACCTGAGGTCAGGAGTTCGAGACCAGCCTGGCCAACATGGCAAAACCTCGTCTCTACTAAAAATACAAAAATTAGCTAGGCATGGTGGTGCGCGCCTATAGTCCCAGCTACTCAGGATCTGAGGCAGAAGAATCACTTGAACCCGGGAGGCAGAAATTGCATTGAGCTGAGATTGCGCCACTGGGCGTGCCACTGGAGCCGAGATCTCCAGCTGAGATAATTTTTGTATTTCTACTGAAAATACAAAAATTAGCCAGCTGTGGTGGCGCATGCCTGTAGTCCCAGCTACTTGTGAGGGTGAGGCACGAGAATCGCTTGAACCTGGGTGGCAGAGGTTGCAATGAGCCAAGATTGTGCCACTAACACTCCAGTCTGGGGAACAGAGCGAGACTCCATTTCAAAAAGAGGGAAGGAACTGAGTGAGCAAAAATAAATAAATAAAAATACTAAAGTGTAAGGGCAAAGTCTGACACAGTATTCTGTGAGATAAACACCATTTTCCAAATGAGGACAGTGAGGCACAGGAAGGTTAAGTCATTTGCCCAAGGCCACTCAGCTGAATTCCAACCCAGACAGTCTTGTCTTAACTATCCATATATCTCTATAGTGGTCCCCATTTTACAGTTGGGGAACAGAAGCTTAAAGAGAAGCAACGTTGCCAGCCCAAGGTCACAGTAGTGGCCCAGGATGAGATTGGGACTCAAGAAATCCAAGAGCAGCCAGGTGCAGTGGCTCACACCTGTAATCCAAGCCACTTGAGAGGCTGAGGAGGGAGGATTGCTTGAGCCCAGAAAGTCAAGGCTACAGCTAGCTATGGTTGCACCACTGCACTTCAGCCTGGACAAGAGAGAGAGACCCTATCTCCAAAACAAACAGGCCGGGTGAAGTAGCTCACGCCTGTACTCCCAGCACTTTCGGAGGCTGAGGCGGGCAGATCACTTGAGGTCAGGAGTTCGAGACCAGTCTGGCCAACATGACAAAACCCCGTCTCTACTAAAAATACAAAAATTACCTGGGCATGATGGAGTGTACCTGTAATCCCAGCTACTCGGGAGGCTGAGGCAGGAGAATCACTTGGACCCAGGAGGCAGAGGTTGCAGTGAGCTCGGATCATGCCACTGCACTCTGCCCTGGGTGACAGAGCGAGACTCTGTCTCAAAAAATATATAAAAATGGCCAGGAGTGGTGGCTCACACCTGTAATCCTAGCACTTTGTGAGGCCAAGGAAGGCAGATTGGCTGAGCTCAGGAGTTTGAGACTAGCCTGGGCAACATGGTGAAACCCTGTCTCTACTAAAAATACAAAAAAATTAGCTAAGCATGGCGGCATGCACCTGTAGTCTCAGCTACTCAGGAGGCTGAGGCAGGAGAATTCTTTGAACCTGGGAGGCAGAGGCTGCAGTGAGCCGAGATCGCGCCACTACACTCCAGCCTGGGTGACAGAGCAAGAATCCATCTCCAAAAATAAATAAATTTTATCTATCTATCTATCTATCTATCTATCTATCTATCTATAAAATAGGCCGGGTGTGGTGGCTGACAGCTGTAATCCCAGCACTTTGGGAGGCCAAGGCGGGTGAATCACCCCAGGTCAAGAGTTCAAGACCATCCAGCCTGATGAACATGGTGAAACCCCGTCTCTACTGAAAATACAAAAATTAGCCAGCTGTGGTGGCGCATGCCTGTAATCCCAGCTACTTGGGAGGCCGAGGCAGGAGAATCGCGTGAACCCGGGAGGTGGAGGTTGCAGTGAGCCGGGATCGCACCACTGCACTCCAGCCTGGGCAACAAGAGTGAAACTCCGTCTTAAATAAATAAATAAATAAAAATAAAATAAAAAATAAATCCTGGGGCAAAGAAGGGGATCTATCTGAACTGAAATTTGGAAGATGTTTCCCCTCCAGGACTTCACACTCTGACTCAGGAGTTCTCGGAGCCCATCTGATGAATGTCATGATGGAGGCTGGGGGGCAGTGATGTGGAGTTTGGATGGAGGGGCTTACCTGATCCGAGCCTAGAGCCCACACCTGCACTCCATGCTTCCAGAAGGCCTGAAGCTGACCTCCAACCATAGCTGGGGAGAAAGCAATGCCCGTTACCCTTGGGGATCACTTGAGTTTCCACCCCTGATCCTGGGCTCTCCCGTCCCTGCACAGACCCACGGCCTCCACCGCTTCGGTCATGGGGATCTCAGGTGTGCGAAGTCCCCGGACTGGGGACCCCTCCGGGGTCACCAGCTTCACAGAGCCTGGAAGGAGATAGACGGTTTTAAGAACTGTGAGCAAGGCTTAGAGGGTTACTAAGGGACCAATCCATAAATTCAGTGTGAAAGCTATGTAGGACAGGGGCAAGGCCCAGAGGGGCTCAGGGGGTTCTGAGAAGCACAAGTTCGGAGGCAGAGATCTAGGGACTGCAGCTGGAGGGGTGGGGAGGAAGGGGAGGAAGGAGGGTTCTCACCATCCATCAACACCATCACCATATCTTCCTCTACCTGGGTCACCTGCACGGGTCCCCTGTGCTCTGTTTGGGGGGAGTGGGTTAAGGATTGACCCCACCCCATTCCCCTTTCCCCACACCACCCCCAGAAGGCCAGTACCTGTGCTTTAGCCACCGCCTCAGTTCACAAGCAAGTGGGCTAAACCCCGCCCACCATCCCGGTCCCACCCCATCATCAATCTCCCCAGTTAACTAAAACCTGCCATTCTCCCTTCTCCGCCCTTCCAGCCCTTTCTCAGTCCCGTAGTGCCTCAGGCTAAGCGAAGCCCCGCCTCCAGCTCCGCCCCTCCGGATCTGATAAGCCCCGCCCTCAGCAAGACTCCGCCCCACTCACCGGTGCTCATCTCGCCCAGCCAGCAAGAGAGCGCGCCAAAGCGCACCGTGTGGAAGAGCACCGACTTCCCCGGCCGCCCGGGGCTCACGCCGATGCACACAGCGGGCAGCTCAGAGCCTGGCCCGGTCAGCAGCGCGAACACGGACAGAGGCGTCGGCAGTGGGAACAGCACCTGCTGCGGGCCGCACAGGGAGGGGCGGGCTAGGGGGTGGTTCAGGACGGGGCCTCAGGGGGCGTGGCTTGTAGCTGGCCTGGGACTTCCGAACCAGGGCCCTAAGTCTTGGGGGATGCCGTCTAGAAATGTCAGGGGATAAGGCCTGGTGCCTCCGCGGGAACGGGGGTCGTGACCTCCGAGTGGGTGTGGCTTCCATGTGGGGGCATGCCACCTTGGCGGCAGACGGGCAGGGCCCCAAAGATAGCAAAACCTGCTTAGACACTCAAAGAGACAGGCTCTAAATGGGCTCTACTAGGACACCCAGGGAGTGGCAGCATTGAGCCTGAGGAATAATTAGGCCCAGGTGTGAGGGGCGGCGCTTAAGGATCAGGATGGCTTCAGAAGGACGAGGCTCCAAGCGCAGACCGCAGGTGGGCGGGGCCTCGGGAGATTGGGGCGGGGCCTCGACGGAGGTGGGGCTTCATGGAGCTCTTGATAGAAGCGCAAAGGGTGCAAGGCCTTAGCCACCCACTCCTCAGAGTTCCCAGCACCCTCCCAAGCCCCTTACCCGGACAAGCAGGAATTTGTTCATGGGCTGGTACCACTGAAGCAGGACAACGGACGTCTCCAATGCACCGCACAGGAACGGGCCCCCAGAGCTCGCACCCTCCGCTGTGGCATGGGCAAGGATGAGTCAAGATCAATGCCCTCTATCCTCCTCGCCACCCACACTACCACCCATCTTCTGGGTTCTGGACACATTGCCTTAACTCTGTAACCTTCTCAGGTGGATGCAGTTCAAGCCCCTCCTCTGGCCTGGCCCCGCCCACTCTCTGCACACCCGTGAAGCTCTCTCTCACCCACACAGCACGCCCGGCAGCCTTTGGTGTCCTGGATCTTGGTGGAAACCATGTTCTTCCTGGAGAATAGGTAGGTGTGAAGGGGGGTAGGACAGCAGGAGGCAGAGGGGCATGGGAGGAATTATAAGGCTGTGTGGTGCCATTCATTGGGAGCTGGTACCTTGCCAGTAGGCGGTGGGGGCTAATGTGAGCGATGGGGTTTCCTGCTCTGGTCTCTTTCCGTTCCAGCAGGCCAAGGATGCTATGAGAATACAGGTGGGGGGTCTTTCCTGCAGGGTGTGTGTATGTAGGGGGAAGCAGGAAGTTATAGGATCCCATATACCACTTCCTTTCCTCCATCCCTTCCCTCAGCCCCATCCCTTTGTCTGAAACTCCCAAGCCTGCAAGTCTCAAGTACTTGTCATTCATTCATTCATTTCTCACTCCACATAGATTGAACGTCCATTGTAGGCCAGGCCTGCTGTGCTTGGCTCTGGTGAACAGTGATGAGCATAAAAAATATGTTCCCTACCCTCGTGGTATTTGTAGCCGTATCAGAAACTCTGGACACATAACCAGTCAGATGAAGTTACACATCTTACAAAGTTTTAGAAGAAACACATCTAGAAAATCTTCTAGTTTGTCATCACAGATGTGGCTTTCACTAACTCATGAATCCCATTTGGCTTGGTGTTTCCCCCAAAACTAGAAATTATTTCATTTATTTATTATTATTATTATTATTTTAGACAGTCTCGCTCTGTCACCCAGGCTGGAGTGCAGTGGTATAATCTTGGCTCACTGCAGCCTCTGCCTCCCAGGTTCAAGCAATTCTCATGCCTCAGCCTCCCAAGTAGCTGGGAGTAGAGGTATGCGCCACCATGCCTGGATAATTTTTGTATTTTTAGTAGAGACGGGGTTTTACCATGTTGGCCAGTCTGGTCTCGAACTACTGACCTCAGGTGATCTACCCGCCTCGGCCTCCCAAAGTGTTGGGATTACAGGTGTGAACCACCGCACCCGGCCTATTTATTGTTATATATAGACAGGGTCTCATTCTGTCTTCCAGGCTGGAGTGCAGTGGTGTGATCATGACTCACTGCAGCCTCTAACTTCTGGGCTCAAGTGATCCTCCCACCTCAGCCTCCCGAGTAGCTGGAACCATAGGTGTGTGCCACCACACCCAGCTAATTTTTTTTTAATTTTTAGTAGAGACGAGGTCTCACTATGTTGCCCAGGCTGATCTAGAACTCCTGGGCTCAAGCAGTACTACTGCCTTGGCCTCTCAAAGTGCTGGGATCACAGGCATGAGCCACTGCACCCCGTCCAGATTTTGAAATCTATAACTTGCTCACTCTATCTTAGTAAAGTATGGAATAAGTTCTGATTGTCATCTGAACATGAAAGCTATTTAAAGACTAACTTAGGGCTGGGCACGGTGGCTTACACCTGTAATCCCAGCACTTTGGGGGGCTGAGACGAGTGGATCACCAGGTCAGGAGTTCGAGACCAGCCTGGCCAACATGGCGAAACCCCGTCTCTACTAAAAACACAAAAAATTAGCCGCGTGTGGTGGCAGGTGCCTGTAATCCCAGCTACTTGGGAGGGTGAGGCAGGAGAATCGCTTGAACCTGGGAAACGGAGGTTGCAGTGAGCCGAGACTGCGCCACTGCACTCCAGTCTGGGCAACAGAGTGAGAGTCTATCTCAAAAAAAAAAAAAAAAAAAAAAAGGACTAATTTAGGCCAGGTGCGGTGGCCCACACCTGTAATCCCAGCACTTTGGGAGGCCAAGGCGGGTGGATCACCTGAGGTCAGGAGTTTGCGACCAGCCTGGCCAACATGGTAAAACCCCATCTCTACTAAAAATAAAAAATAAAAAAAGTAAAAAAAAAAAAAGCCAGTCATGATGGCTCACATCTGTAATACCAGCTACTCGGGAGGCTGAGGCACGAGAATTGCTTGAACCCAGGAAGTAGAGGTTGCAGTTAGCCAAGATCACGCCCCTGCACTCCAGCCTGGGCAACTGAGTGAGACTCGGTCTCAAAAAAAAAAAAAAAAAAAAAGGCTAATCTAAGGCCAGGTGTGGTGGCTCATGCCTGTAATCCCAGCATTTTGGGAGGCCAAGGCAGTTGGATCACCTGAGGTCAGGAGTTTGAGACCAGCCTGGCCAACAGGGTAAAACTCTGTCTCTACTAAAAATACAAAATTTAGCCAGGTGTGGTGGTGCACACCTGTAATTCCAGCTACTCAGGAGGCTGAGGCATGAGAATCACTTGAACCTGGGAGGCAGAGGTTGCCGTGAGCTGAGATTGTACCACTGCGCTCCAGCCTGAGTGACAGAGGGAGACTCTGTCTCAAAAAAAGAAAAAAAAAGACTAATTTATTGTAGAAACTACCTCAAAATTGACTTGAGAGGTGAGGACTATTGTGAACCCCATTTTACAAATGGAGAAATTGAGGCTTGGGGAGCACAGTCAAAAAGTGTCTGGGATTTGAACCTAGGACTTTGTGACCAAGCAGTCTAAGTTTTTTTTCAGCTGTGCCCGTCTACTTCCCAGCCCCCGAACCCTTGGACCCCTTAACTTCCGACCCCATCCCACCTGCTACCCACAGCCAGACCTGAGAGAGACATGAGAACGTTGTTGATGGAGTACACCCACGTAGTCCGGCTAGGAAAGAGCTGCAGGGAATGGGAGAGATGGCTCTGGTGACACCCCAGCAACCCCCGACTCCGGCCCTTGCCCTTGCCCTGGCCCGGTATGGTTCCTCACCATTTCCAGCGTGGCCTCCTGGTCATTCCGGTTCAGGATGAAGATGCCTTCCTCTGCCCCCAGGAGCAGGTGCTGGTCTGGAGGCACAGACAAGGACGCTGGGACCGACTTCATCCTCAGGGACCTCCCAGATCCCCACCTGTCTGACCTCAAACACTGACACTCTGTCCCCAGCTCTGACCCTCTATTCTTTCTCCAAACCAATACTCCCAGCCTCTGTTTCCCCAAACAAAGCCAGAGCGGACGGTCCCGCAAGCCAGTCTCACTCTCCCTCCTTTTGACTACCCATATTCTGGTGGTTCTTTCTTCTCTGCCCAACTGTCTTCTGAACCAAACTGACCCCAACCTTAGACCTGTCCCCCAAAATAGTCCTCTGATTTCCTCCCCTCTTTCTCCCCAGTTCTGATACCCTAATGCCAATCCTAACATTGACCTTCAAACTCAGACACCCCCAAACAGGACTTTTTCTGTCCAGTGTGACCTGTTCCTTTAACACTGACCTTGTCTTCATCTCTTTGATCTCTAGATTCTGTCCCTTTCTGGCTGCATCCTAATCTCTAAAATTCCTCACCCCAAAATGCTGCTCCCAGTCTCCCTATCATTAACCTCCAGCTGTCCATCTTTCTCGTGCTCCAAACTCTAACCTTTTTGTTATATTCTGACACTCCTGGCCCCTGAATTCCAATATTCCTACTTTCACTCTCCAACTCATCCCTCTACCCATTTTTTTTTTTTTTTTTTTTTTTTGAGACTGAGTCTTGCTCTGTTGCCCAGGCTGGAGTGCAGTGGCATGATCTCAGCTCACTGCAACTTCCGCCCCCTGGATTCAAGCAATTATCCTGCCTCAGCCTCCTGAGTAGCTGGGATTATAGGCACGTGCTACCACGCCTGGCTAATTTTTGTGTTTTTAGTAGAGACGAGGTTTTACCACGTTGGCCAGGCTGGTCTCAAACTCCTGACCTCAAATGATCCGCCCGCCTCCGCCTCCCAAAGTGCTGGGATTACAGGCGTGAGCCACCATGCCCGGCCTACCTAGCTTCTTTTGTATTTTTAGTAGAGACGGGGTTTCACCATGTTGGCCAGGCTGGTCTTGAACTCCTGACCTCAAATGATTCACCCGCCTCAGCCTCCCAAAGTGCTGGGATTACAGGTGTGAGCCACCACACCTGGCTGCCCTCTATGCATCTTTGATCACCAAATCCTGAGTGTAAGGACAAGCTCCGCCCCTGTTTCAGCCTGGCCACACCCCAACTCCATTAAGCTCCTCCCCGTCCCTGCCTTTGTGCCTTCCTTAGGCTTCTCCCCACCCCTACTTTTGCTCTCCCATTCCCTACAGGATCTCCTTGACCCTCCAGAATGCCCACCCTTGGTGGAGGGATGTGTCCAGGCGGCCGTGCTGTGGATCCGGAGGGGGCAGCCATTGAACAACTTTACGAGAAGGGCACATCCCTGGGCAGGTCGCCGCGGGGCCAGGCAGCAGATCCGGCAAAGAGAGCAGGGAAC
The DNA here is from genome assembly GCF_000001405.40 of Homo sapiens. Lineage (NCBI taxonomy): Eukaryota > Metazoa > Chordata > Mammalia > Primates > Hominidae > Homo > Homo sapiens. Next base: position 11,216 of record NW_014040929.1, read on the forward strand.
AGGAAGGGGCAGTGGTTACGACTTTGGAGCGAGAGTGCCAAGGTTCAAATCCTGCCTCTTACCTTGGTGCAATTTCCCATAATCTATCCCTGTAATACACTTTTTCATACATTGAGTTTTCTTTTCAGTTTGTTTTTGTTTTTTTTTGTTGTTGTTATATATTTCTTTTTTTAGTTTTTCCTCCACTATCCTAAATCATCAGCATTTGTTTTTTTTAAGACAGAGTCTCACTCGGTTGCCCAGGCTGGAATGCAATGACATGATCTCAGCTCACTACAACCTCTGCTTCCCAAGTTCAACTGATTCTCATGCCTAAGCCTTCTGAGTAGCTGGGACCAAAGGCGTGTGCCACCACACCCAGCTAATTTTTGTATTTTTAGTAGAGATGGAGTTTTGCCATGTTGCCCAGGCTGGTCTTGAACTCTTGGCCTCATGTGATTCACCTGCCTCAGCCTCCCAAAGTGCTGAGATTACAGGCGTGAGGCACCACTCCCAGCTGTCAGTTTTGTTTTTGGAGATGGAGTCTCACTCTGTTGCCCAGGCTGGAGTGCAGTGATGCAATCTCAGCTCACTGCAACCTCCACCTCCTGGGCTCAAGCAATTCTTCTGCCTCAGCCTCCTGAATAGCTGGGATTACTGGCACACAACACCACGCCTGGCTAATTTTTGTATTTTAGTAGAGACAGGGTTTCGCCATGTTGGCCAGGCTGGTCTCGAACTCCTGACCTCAGGTGATGCGTCTGCCTTGGTCTCCCAAAGTGCTGGGATTACAGGCATGAGCCACTGTGCCTGGCCAGCATATATATATATACACATATACATATATATATAGACACACACACACACACACACATATATATACACACACACATACATATATACACACATATACATATATACACACATATACATATATACATATATACACGTGTACATATATACGCATATACATATATACACATATACATATATATACACACATATACATATATACATATATATACACATGTACATATATACGCATATACATATATATACACATATACATATATATACACACCTATACATATATACATATATACACATGTACATATATACGCATATACATATATACACACATATACATGTATACATATATACACACATATACATGTATACATATATACACATGTACATATATACGCATATACATATATACACATATACATATATACACACATACATATATACATATATACACATGTACATATATACGCATATACATATATACACATATACATATATACACATGTACATATATACTTATATACACATGTACATATATACACACATGTACACATATACGCATATACATATATACACATACATATATACACACATATACACATGCACATATATACGCATATACATATATACATATACATATATACACACATATACATGTATACATATATACACATGTACATATATACGCATATACATATACACATATACATATATACACATGTACATATATACACATGTACATATATACACATGTACATATATACGCATATACATATATACACACATATACATGTATACATATATACACATGTACATATATACGCATATACATATATACACATACATATATACACATATACATATACACATATATATACACATGTACATATATACGCATATACATATATACACATACATATACACACACACATACATGTATACATATATACACATGTACATATATACGCATATACATATATACACATATACATATATACACACATATACATATATACACATGTACATATATATGCATATACATATATATACACGTATACATATATACACACATATACATGTATATGTGTGTGTATATATGTATATGTATATATGTATGATTAATTATGCTATGCATTTCATCTTTGAATCATTTCCAGTGCTGGAGGTATAAATTATACATACTTTTAGCCGGTAGCCAACCAGGCACGGCTGTAATCCCACCAGTTTGGGAGGCCGAGGTGGGAGGATCACTTAAGCCCAGGAGTTCAGGACCAGCTTGGGCAACATAGTGAGACCCTGCCTCTATAAAACATTTTTTTAAAAATTAGCCAAGCTGGGCCGGGCGCGGTGGCTCACGCCTGTAATGCCAGCACTTTGGGAGGCCGAGGCTGGCAGATAACTTGAGGTCAGGAGTTTGAGACCAGCCTGGCCAACATGGCAAAACTCCGTCTCTACTAAAAATACAAAAATTAGCTGGGCGTGGTGGTGGGCGCCTGTAGTCATGGCTACTTAGGAGGCTGAGGCAGGAGGATCACTTAGACTGGGGAGGCAGAGGTTGCAGTGAGCCAAGATAGCACCACTGCACTCCAGCCTGGGCGACAGAGTGAGACTCCATCTCAGAAAAAAAAAAAAAAAATTAGCCAAGCGCTACTAGGGAGGGTGAGGTGCATGGATTGCTTGAGTCTCCGAGGTCAAGGCTGCAGTGAGCCATGATCGCGCCACTGCACTCCAGCAGCCTGGGCGACAGAGCGAGATACTATCTCAAAAAAAAAAAAAAAAAAAAAAAAAGACTTTAGAGAGTTCTAATTCATTTTATGCATTTGTTGGCAAATTTGATGCCACAAAGGTGCATTATCACAACACTGACTACGTGTGTAGGCATTATGCATGTACGTAAAAACACTGAAACTTCCTGAATAAAGAGATGTTCTTTTTGTACATCTCCATTTATGAGAGGTAAAATTTCTTGAGATCTTGGCTCTTTGGGCAACTGCATATGTGGTAGTGACTCATGGAGGTTTTGATGGATCTTGTCAAAAGACTCTAACTTCTGGACTCAAGCAATCCTCCCACCTCAGCTTCCCAAGTAGCTGGGACCATAGGTGTGTGCCACCACGCCCAGCTAATTTTTTAAATTTTTAGTAGCTGGGCGCGGTGGCTCATGACTGTAATCCCAGCACTTTGGGAGGCCGAGGCGGGCAGATCACAAGGTCAGGAGATCGAGACCATCCTGGCTAACACGGTGAAACCCCGTCTCTACTAAAAATACAAAAAATTAGCCGGGCCTGGTGGCGGGCACCTGTAGTCCCAGCTACTCGGGAGGCTGAGGCAGGAGAATGGTGTGAACCTGGGAGGCGGAGCTTGCAGTGAGCCGAGATCGCGCCACTGCACTCCAGCCTGGGTGACACAGTGAGACTCTGTCTCAAAAAAAAAAAAGCATGCCAGACGCGGTGGCTCATGCCTGTAATCCCAGCACTTTGGGAGGCCGAGGCAGGTGGATCACCTGAGGTCAGGAGTTCAAGACGAGCCTAACCAACATGGTGAAACCCCACCTCTACTAAAAATACAAAATTAGCCGGGCATGGTGCTGCATTGCCTGTAATCTCAGCTACTCCGGAGGCTGAGGCAGGAGAATCACTTGAACTAGGGAGGCGGAGGTTGTAGTGAGCTAAGATCGCGCCACTGTACTCTAGCCTGGGCAACAAGCAAAACTCCGTCTTTAAAAAAAAAAAAAAAAAAGCAGAAACAACAATCCTGCCTCAGCCTGCCTCCTCAAAGGTATTTATATGACCTTGGGTAAGCCACTTACCCTCTCTGTGCTTCAATTTCCCCATTTGTGAAATGGGGGATAACATCTCTGTGATATCTTCTTCACTCTGTGAAGCTTTATGCCATGTAATGATAGGAGATAAGTGTAGGGCACAGAGAAGCGCTCAACAAATGTCACCTGTTGTTACTGTCAGTCCTGCCACCCCCTCCCCACCCCACCAGGCATCCCCAGCCCCGTCCAGAGGTGTAAGTCCTCAGCAGAGCTGAACCTCACCTTTCTCTTCATCTTTTCCTTCTTGGGGGGCAGAAGTGGGGGCTTGTCAAGCTCCCGGGAGGGTGGGTTCCAGAGTGAGGGTTCTGAGAGGGGTTAGGAGAAAATCAGCCCCCAAGAACCCCCAACCCTCCCGCCCTCCACCCTAGCCTGTCCCATTACCTGAATGGGCGGTGAGGTGGGGGCTGCTGGTGGATGGGGGAGGCCCAGGACGGGGGCTGTTTGGTGGGGGCCCACTGGCACACCGGACCAGCACCCCCGGGCTCAGCTGCCCATCATCCCCCATGCTCCCAGGACCCTCGTCTGATGGAGAACGGAACTTGGGCTTTGGAGACGGGAATGGAGCGTGGGGAAATACATCAGATGATCTCAGAGAGGGCACCCTTTTGCAACTCAAGTCCCTGCCTCCACCAGAACTAACAGCTGTGGCTCTGACCCACCCCCCCGACAACATCTTGTGCCCCCTCCAGCCTTCCCCTGACATCCCCAGCCTGGACATCAACACACTTCAGAAACTAATGGGTTAATGCTGGATATATAGCAGGGGCTTCCTAGGACCAGCTACTGACCAGTGTCTAAGAGGCTAAATATTTTGAATCCGACCCTGAGGTTGAGGGATGCCACTTCCAGATCCCAATGTAGCCATCATCCTGGTCTCCCCAATTCCCTGCCCTGGAGAGCCCAGTATCCCAGCATCTAAGGACCTGGCCTCCTGGCCCCCAGTGGCCCTGAGGCCCCAGCCTCCCAGCTCTGGCCCAGGGCCTTACCTTGGGGGGAAGTGGAGGAGGTGTGTCCTCTGCAGGGGTGGGGCTGAAACACAAAGATGGGTTAAATAGCTGGGGGGCTGGGGAACAAGGACTCGGGGAAGATGGCATGGTTCTGGGCTGGAGGCCCGGGACTGGGGTCTGAGGTGAGGAGGATTAAGGGATGACTGGTTCTGCCTGGAGCAGAGGATTAAAGGATTAATAGCCAGGCTGGACATAGTGGCTCATGCCTGTAATCGCAGTGCTTTGGGAGGCCAGGGCAGGATGGCTTGAGCCCAGGAATTCGAGACTAGCCTGGGCAGCATAGCAAGACCTTGTCTCCAGAAAAAAATTAAAAATTAGCCAGGCGTGGCAGGTGCGCCTGTGACCGCAGCTACTCAGGAGGCTGAGGTGGGAGGATTGCTTGAGCCTGGGAGGTTGAGGCTGCAGTAAGCCATCATTGCACTCCTGCACTTAGCCTTGGTGCCAAAACAAATCATGAGTTTGAGACCAGCCTGGACAACATGGCAAGACCCCATCCTACAAAAAAATGATTAGCCTGTTTCCAAAAAAAAGACTAATAACAGTAACAGCAACTCTTGGAGGTGGAGTGCTGACAGTGCACCACGGCTTTGCACCTTTACACCACCTAGTAACACAGGTGACATCAGCGCCGTGGCCCTGCTCTCCCTGTGCTGGCGCCACACACAGGCTGTCGCACGTGATGGGTGAAGTGAGTGCGCGCACCTGGATGGAGCCTGACTCGGCCTGTGGGCTGGGGAGTATGGGGGCCTGGGCTGACTGTTGGGTCTGGATCTGGGGCTCAGTATCTGGTCTTTGGGAGATTTCCAGGTGCCAAGGTTCAGCCTGAGGGCGGGCAAAAAGATAGGAAAAGCTGAGGGCTGGGGCTGAAGGCTGGAGGGTGGGTCTGGGGTGAGAGTGACATTCGGGAGGAGTTTGAGACTGGGATGTGGCTGAGGGTGCAGGGTCATGGAGGATAGGTGGGGTCAAGTCAGAGATTGGAGCAGCAGCACATTCTAGAAGGAACTGGGGTCAGCTCTGGGGTGGAGAGCAGGTGGGGGGCTGACGCTGAGGGTCAAGTCAAAAGATTGTATAAGAAGATGGAAGGAGGCCAAGTGCAGTGGCTCACACCTGTAATCGCAGCACTTTGGGAGGCTGAGATGGGCGGATCATGAGGTCAGGAGTTTGAAACCAGCCTGGCCAACATGGTGAAACCCCATCTCTACTAAAAATACAAAAAATTAGCTGGGCATGGTGGCAGGTGCCTGTAATCCCAGCTACTCAGGAGGCTGAGACAGGAGAATCGCTTGAACCCGGGGAGCCGAGGTTGTAGTGAGCTGAGACTACGTCACTGCACTCCAGCCTGGGCCACAGAGTGAGACTCCATCTCAAAAAAAAAAAAAAAAAAAAAGAAGAAGGTGGAAGGAAAGAAGGAAAGTGGGAGCTGGAGCTGGGATCAGGTTGGGGGTCAGGGGTTGGAGGTGAAGGGTTAAGGGAGGTGGGGTTAGGGAACAGGGCCTAGGTAGCTGGGCAGAGGGGCTGCATTGAGGGTCTAATCAGGGCTCAGGGCTCGGGGCTAGAAGAAAGGCAGGGGTGCAGCGGGGTCAGGAGTGGAGGAAAGGCCACATCAGGGGATTGTAGGAAGGTGGGGGCTGAGGTGGGGCCTGTGGAGCTGCAGGCAGGGCCTCACTTACATGTCCACGTCGTCATAGTCATCGTCAGACGACTCTGACAGTTGCTTCCTGAAGGGTGACAGGTATGAGCCTTGGGGGCCTTGTCCACATTCCAGCCCCCTCCCCATCCTCCCTGGGGTCCCTGACCTGGGGCTGCTGCTCCTGAGGTCTCGAGGAGGCTGTAGGCGAGCCTGTGGGGTAGGAAAAGGGTCAGCAGTGGCCTCAGGGAAGCAGGCGGTGTGGTGGGGAGTGGGGGGACAGCATCTCACGGTGTTGGCTGGGGGTCTGGTCTCCATTCCTCGGAGCTTCCTGAACTCCATGTGCCGCCCTAGGGTGGGTGGGGGAAGATAACCTGCTGTGAGCTGGGGGCAAGGGGTAACGAGATGGGTTTAAGAACAGAAAGAGTAGAATTGGCGGGGGGGTTGCAGTCAGGATCTTGGGGACTGCAAATGATCTCAGGGAACTGTCCCTTGGGGAAAGGGGTCTTGGATTACAGGGACTTCATTTGGGGGTCAAGTTTGGGATCAAGACCAGGTGCAGTGGCTCACGCCTATAATCCCAGTACTTTGGAAGGCTGAGGTGGGCAGATCGCTGGAACCCAGAGTTTGAGACCTGCCTGGACAACTGGGCAAGAACCCATCCCTACAAAAAATGATTAAAAATTAGCCAAGTGACTGGGCACAGTGGCTCACGCCTGTAATCCCAGCACTTTGGGAGGTGAGGCAGGCAGATCACCTGAGGTCAGGAGTTCATGATCAGCCTGGTCAACATGGTGAAGCCCCGTCTCTACTAAAAAAAAATACAAAAATTAGCCGGGCATGGTAGTATGCGCCTGTAATCCCAATTACTCTGGAGGCTGAGGCAGGAGAATCGCTTGAACCCAGGAGGCAGAGGTTTTGGTGAGCCAAGATCGCACCATCGCACTCCAGCCTGGGCGACAGAGTGAAACTCCGTCTCAAAAAAAAAAAAAAAAAAAAAAAAAAAAAACATTAGCCACGCGTGGTGAATAAGCCTGTAGTCCCAGCTACTCAGGAGGCTGAGGTGGGAGGATTCCTTGAGCCCAAGAAGTTTGAGGCTTAAGTGAGCTGTGATCACACCACTGCACTCCAGCCTGGGTGACACAGCAAGATCCTGTCACAAAAAAATAAACAAATAAATAAGTTTTGGGATCAGGAAGTTGGGGGCTCAATGTAGTTACAGGGTGTTTTCAGGATCCGTTTGGGTATTGAGGTTCTGATGAGATTTCTGAGGTCTCCCTGGGAACTCTATGGTCATTTTGCTTTTGTTTTTGTTTTGTTTTGTTTTGTCCTTGAGACGGTCTCGCTCTTGTCACCTGGACTGGAGTGCAGTGGCGCAATCTTGGTTCACTGCAACCTCCACCTCCCAGGTTCAGGCAATCCTCCTACCTCAGCCTCCCAAGTAGCTTGGACTACAGGCGTGCACTACCACACCCGGCTAATTTTTGTATTTTTAGCAGAGACAGGGTTTCACCATGTTACCCAGGCTCGTCTTGACATCCTGACCTCAGATGATCTGCCCACCTTGGCCTCCCAAAGTGCTGGGATTACAGGCATGAGTCACCACGCCTGGCCTCTACGGTCATTTTGTAGTTCAGGTGCTGATGAGATTGTCTGGGGTCTCTTATAGGATCAGATGATGCTGAGGGTCTCTGGAGGCCTGATGGTAGGGGAAGGTGGTCTCTTAGGTCTATTATAGGGTCAGGTGTCCCCAAACATAAGGATTCTCTACTCACGACAGCAGTCTGCATCTGGGATCCCCAGAGAGCTGGAGCGGTGGGTGGATCTGATCCGCCGAGGGATAGCAGGGGGTAGCTGGGCAGAGGGGCAGCCACGTCAGGGCTCAAGACCCCCAAGCAGCCTCCTACCCTGCCCGGGGTCCATCTGCTCTCTCCTGTAACCCTCTGGGCACACAGCCTTTTACCAAGCTCCCCATCCTCCCTCCCTGTTTTCCCCCTAAGAGAGGCAGCAGGAAGGCACTGCTGGCAGCAGGCACAGCCTGAGAAAGACCGAGAGGTCCCCAGTGCTCTTGTCAGCCAAGGCTCTCACCTCGGGCTCCTCATCCTCAATGTCCCCAATGGAGGGTCCTTTCCCGGGATTCTTCAGTTTGTCAAGAAGATCCAGGATCAGGCCTCGATTCAGCCCAGGCTGGGATACCAGTTGATGCTGGCGGAGGGAAGAGGTGTCCGTATCCAGAGGGATGGTGTGGACAGAGAGGGCTGGTGTGGACAGAGAGGACTGGTACAGGGCCTTGGGGACTGGACTAAAGGAATCTAGCTGGGGAGAAGGTGCCAGTGAAGGCAGAGGGCGGGGAAATCCAGGGAACTCAGAGGCCTGGGGTATTCTTTTTTGTTTGTTTGTTTTAAGACAGAGTCTCACTCTGTCACCCAGGCTGGAGTGCAGTGGCACAATCCAGGCTCACTGCAACCTCCACCTCCTGGGCTTAATTGATTCTCGTGCCTCAGCCTCCCGAGTGGCTGTGATTACAGGCTCGTGCCACCACGCCCAGCTAATTTTTTTTTTTTTTTTTTTTTTTTTTTTTTTGAGACAGGGTCTCGCCCTGTCACTCAGACTGGAGTGCAGTGGCACGATCCTGGCTCACTATAGCCTCCGCCTCCTGGGTTTAAGCAATTCTCCAACCTCAGCCTCCCAAGTAGCTGGGATTACAGGCGTGCGCCACTATGCTCAGCTAATTTTTGTATTTTTAGTAGAGACGGGGTTTCACCATGTTGGCCAGGCTGGTCTCAAACTCCTGACCTCAAGTGATCCATCTACCTCAGCCTCCCAAAGTGCTGGGATTACAGGTGTGAGCCACCATGCCCAGCCGACCGGTGGGAGTCTAAGACATTTTTAGGAATTAGAAGAATTTAGGTTTCTCAGAGCGGGGCTAGGAGAATTCCAGAGTTGTCTTGGAAGAGACTGTGGTTCCCTGGGGATTCAAGAGGACACTCAGGACAAGTCTTGAGTCCTTTGGGAATTTGTCAGTTCCGGCAACTCGGGGTATTTGGGAAAGGTCTGGGGTATAACCCGGAGGGTCTCTGGTGGTCGGGGGTGGTCCTGGGAAATTCTGAGGCACTAGGGACTTTGGAAAGGCCACGGGGACTCCATGGAACAAAGTTATCCATGTCCTCGGGAGTTGTGGAAGGCCCCAGGGAATCCTAGGCTGAGGATCTTGGGGAAGGGAGGGTTACACTGAGCATCTTGGTGGCGCTGGGTCGTTTCTTGGGACTCTTAGTCAGAGTGACTTTGATGAAGTTGTGGAAGGCAGCCGACCTTGGGAAGAAGAAGCCAGGTTCTGGATGAGGGGACCAGAAACCCTCCCATCAGGCCACCCAGCCCCAGCCCTGCCCTCTCTCACCCTCCCTCCTGTTACTCTCTCGTACCATTTGCCTTTTTCCTTCAGTCGGGGAGGCTGGTAGCCACTCTTGGTCATGAGGAAGAGAACTCTAGAATAGTAGGGAAAGGACATGGGGTTCAGACCCTCAAGGGGGCCAGACCTCATGGCTTGAGGGGTTCCTAGTAGCATTGTGGTCAGCAGAGGGCAAAGTGAGAAACAGCATGGAAGTGAGGTTCAGGTTTTACAGTGCACCAGGGTGCCTCTCCTAAGGGAAGCCATTTATGAAGTGATAGAGCTATGGCAAGGCCAGGTGTGGTGGTTCACGCCCGTAATCCCAACACTTTGGGAGGCCAAGGCGGGAGGATAGCTTGAGCCCAGGAGTTGGAGACCAGCTGGGGCAACATAGTGAGACAAAAAAAAAATTTTTTTTTTAAATAGCTGGGTGTGGCAATATGGGTCTGTAGGACCAGCTATGTGAGAGGCTAAGGCAGGAGGATCATTTGAGCCCCGGCATTCAAGGCTGAAGTGAACTACGATCGTGCCGCTGCACTCCAGCCTGGGTGACAGAGCCAGATCCTGTCTCTAAAAATAATAAGAATTAATTAATTAATTTAAAAAATGTCTGGGCGTGGTGGCTCACACCTTTAATCCCAGCATTTTGGGAGGCCAAGGCAAGTGGATCACTTGAGGTCAGGAGTTCAAGACCAGCCTGGTCAACATAGTGAAACCCCGTCTCTACCAAAACATACAAAAATTAGCCAGGCATGGTGGCGTGCACCTGTAATCCCACACTTGGGAGGTTGAGGTGGTAGAATCACTTGAACCCTGGAGGCAGAGGTTGCAGTGAGCTGAGATCTTGCCACTGCACTCCAGCCTGGGCAACAAGAGTGGGACTCCATCTCAAAAATAAATAAATAAATAAAAATAAAAATAAATAAATAGGCTGGGTGCAGTGGTTCACGCCTGTAATCCCAGCACCTCCGGAAGCCAAGATGGGCAGATAACCTGAGGTCAGGAGTTCGAGACTACCCTGGCCAACATGTTGAAACCCCGTCTCTACTAAAAATACAAAAATTAGCCGGGCGTGGTGGTGCACACCTGCAGCCTCAGCTACTCGGGAGGCTGAGGCAGGAAAATAGCTTGAACCCAGGAGATGGAGGTTGCAGTGAGCCAAGATTGTGCCACTGCACTCCAGCCTGGGCAACAGAGCAAGACTCTGTCTTAAAAAATAAAAAATAAAATAAAATAAAATATTAAATTAAATTTAAAAAATAGAGCTGCAGCACGTGCAAAGGTAGGCTCAAGTGGTGATCCCTGAATTGGAGGTTCCTGGGATGGAAGGCGGAAGCTGAGGGTGGGCTTTGGGCCAGGGCTAGACAGGATCTCTGGGCCTGGGGACCCCACGCCTGCCTACCTGAGAGGGTGCACATCAAAGAGCGGTGGCTGTAGCTCGGCCAGTTCGATGGCCGTGATGCCCAGGGACCAGATGTCACACAGCTCATTGTATCCTCCCTTCAGGGCCACAGCTGCCACTTCCGGAGCCATCCTGGGGGCAGACACGCTCAGAGAGCCAGAGGTGGCATGGGGACAGGAAGGGAAGGAGGGGCAGAGAAGGAGAAGGAGTTGAGGGGAGACGCAGCACACAGAGAGTCAGATGGAGAGACAGAGGGACAGGAGTAAAGACAGACACAGGCAGATGAAGACAGAGATGCAGACGGGGCGCGATGGCTCACGCCTGTAATCCCAGCACTTTGGGAGGCTGAGCAAGGAGAATGGCTTAGGCCCAGGAGTTTGAGACCAGCCTGGGCAACTTATCAAGACCCTATCTCGGCTGGGCACGGTGGCTTTTGCCTGTAATTCCAGCACTTTGGGAGGTCAAGGCGGACAGATCACCTGAGGTGAGGAGTTCGAGACCAGCCTGACCAACATGGTGAAAGCCCGTCTCTACTAAAAGTACAAAAATTAGCCGGGCGTGGTGGCAGGCGTCTGTAATCCCAGCTACTTGGTGGCTGAGGCAGGAGAATTGCTTGAACCTGGGAGGTGAAGGTTGCAGTGAGCTGAGACCATGCCACTGCACTCCAGCCTGGGCAACAGAGCAAAACTCCGTCTCAAGAAAAAAAAAAAGAACGAAAAAGAAAAAAAAAAAAAAACAACACCATCTCTACACAAATTTTAAAAATTAGCCAGGTGTCATGGTGCACACCTGTGGTCCCAGCTACTTGGGAGGCTGAGGTGGGAGGATCTCCTGAGCCCAGGAGTTCTAGGCTGCAGTGAGCCGTGACTATGCCACTGCAATCCAGCCTGGGCCACAGAGTGAGACCCTGTCTCTAAAAACAAAACAAAATGAAAAGACAGAGAGGCAGAGACAGAGAGTGAGAGAGACAGAAACAAAGAGACAGAGAGCACTGCAAACTGAGCTAGAGGAAAAAGACAGAAATGGATATGGAGGGACAGAGAAATCAAGATAAAAATCAACACAAACACCGAGAGCAATGGCCAGAAAAGGGCACAAAGAGAGAGGAAAATGGAAAACTCAAGCGACACCCAGAGAGAATGAAAGAATCTTCCAAGGAGAAAGGACGAGGCAGGGGAACGGAGCCAGGAAAGAGGATCCCGGGGAACCAGGGTAGGAAAAACCACTGACCCCCACTCCACCCCTAGCTGCCCGCTGGGCGCCACTCACCAGTAGGGTGTCCCAATGAAAGAGAGGCGTCTGGCCAGTGTAGCCCCAATCTGGGCCGAGATGCCAAAGTCAGCTGGAAGCAGAGGGAGACATAGTGATCTGGGGTCCACTGCGCTTCCGGCCCCCCAGTCAGCCCCCCTGCTCAACCCCCAGCCTTACTCACCCAATCTGACCTCCCCAGCATCATTGATGAGGATGTTAGCTCCCTGGGAATGAGAGGGGATATGGGAGGCTGCAGAGACTCTCCCCAGCCCAGTGCTAGCCCACTCCGCCAGCTCAAACTACCCTGATCCCTGAGCCCCTGAAATGCCACTCCCATCTCCTGGGCCCCACCCCCCAACAGCACCCCTACACCCCCAGACCACCTTGATGTCCCTGTGTATCTTCTTCTGTGAGTGCAAATAGGCCAGTCCCTGGGGAGAAGGGTGGACAAGGGGACAGTGAGTGTTTGGGGGCTGGAGTGGGGCCACCCTCCCCTCCCATCCCCAGAATCCCCAGGCCTCTCCTTACCTGGAGCACTTCCCGGCAGACATAGCTAATCTGGAGCTCTGACAGGGAGCCTGTCACTGCAAAGGTCACCCCGGCCAGGCCAGGCATTGGATGGGAGCCAGGGAACCTGGGCTGGGGAGTCCTGCCCCCCCACACCAGCTAAGAGGGTGCCATAGGGAGAGGGGAAATAGGATAGGACCAGTGGGAGGGGGAGATGGTGGGGTGGTCAGTGACAGAAAGAGGCAGCAATGCAAATAAAAGAGGCCAATAGGCCTGGCGCAGTGGCTCATGCCTATAATCCCAGCACTTTGGGAGGCCAAGGTGGGTGGATCACTTGAGGTCAGGAGTCCGAGACCAGCCTGGCCAACATGGTGAAACCCCATCTCTACTAAAAAATACAAAAATTAGCCAGGCATAGTGGTGCATGCCTGTAATCCCAAGTACTCAGGAGGCTGAGGCAGGAGAATCGTTTGAACCCAGGAGGTGGAGGTTGCAATGAGCCGAGATCGTACCACTGCACTCCAGCCTGGGCAATAGAAGGAGGCTCTGTCTCAAAAAAAAAAAAAAAAAAAAAAAAAAAGGAAAGAAGGAAAGAAAGAAAGTAAGCAAGATAAATAAGTAGAATATGATATAGTTCCTCAGACGCTGATAGACAGCAAGAAGAAACATAAAGCAAGAAAGGTGCGCGTAGGAGGAGCTATGACATTTCACAGAGGTGGTCAGTCAGGGCTGCTCTCTGAAGGTGACAGTGGGTGAAGACATGAGGGCTCCCACTCTGAGTGGGACCAGCCACAGCAAGTGCAGGGCCCCAGGTGGGATAGTCCCTGGTGGGTCTGGAAAGCAGCAAAGGGGGTGGGGTGGAGTGGAGGGGGAGGAGGAAAGTGGGAGGAGGTGAGATTGGCCAGCATGGGGTGGACCCTGATGAGGAGTCTGGGCTTCTCCTCCGAGAGAAATGGAAGCTGTAGGAGGGCTCTGAGCAGGGGCGTCATGTGACTTTGCAAAATAAGGAAAGGCACAGAGACAGAGAGAGACAGAGAAACGGAGACAGATCATACATGAGACATACAAAAGGAACAGGATTGAAAAAAACAAAAAAATGAGACAGAAGACAAAGACAGAGGTCAGAGGCCAAAATATGGGGAGACAGACAGATTTAGAGAGAGACCCAGAGGGTAACGAGGTAAGAACAACACACAGGCAGAGAGACAGAGAGACAGACAGACAGAGAGAGGCCGTCAGACATCAGGTCTGACAGACCAGCTGTGGGATTCACTTCCTCTCTTTGGGCCTCAGTTTCCCTCCTGAGGACTTCTCAATGACGTCCTTCCTTTTCTAACATTTGAGGTCTAGGGCTGGAAGGAATCAGAGGTTTTCCGCCTCCCAGAATCAAACGATTCTCCTGCCTCAGCCTCCCGAGTAGCTGGGATTACAGGCGTCTGCCACCACGCCCGGCTAATTTTTTGTATTTTTAGTAGAGGCGGGGTTTCACCATGTTGGCCAAGCTGGTCTTGAACTCCTGACCTCAGGTGATCCGCCCACCTCGGCTTCCCAAAGTGCTGGGATTACAGGCGTGAGCCACCACACCAGGCCCAGCAGTTATATTAAAAAAAAAAAAAAAAAAAGCCAGGCACAGTGGCTCAAGCCCGTAGTTTCAGCACTTCGACAGCTGAAGGCAAGAGGATCAGCTCAGCCCAGGAGTTTGAAATATGGCCCAGAAAGACAGTTCCTGTGAGATACACACACAGAGACGGAAGAGGTGAATTTGGGTCGGGGTTGGGGGGTGGGGATAGGGAGGGGTGCTTGGGTCCCGTTGTCCTTTCTCTAACCTTGGTAGATGTCCTGGAGAGAACCAGCCCCACAGAATTCCATGCAGATCCAGAGTTTCTGCAACCTGCAGTGGTTCAAGAGTAAGAATAATAATAGCAGTAAATACATTATTATTTGCAGGAAAGCCCCTGGTTTGCTTCTGTCTTGTTCTAGTTCAATAAGAACTTTAACGTAACAGCTCTCATCACTCCACCTCTCCTTGTCTACCAGAGTGAGGTTGTTTCATTCCCATTTTACAGACAAGGAAGTTAAGGCTCAGAGAGGAAATGTGAGTTCCGGGGCAAGTCAACTCAAACCTAGGCCTTTGGGCGGGACCCCACTGCCGTCCCACGCCAACCTAGGAGGCAGGGCAGAGATCTCACGGGTTGTGGAGATTTGGAGGGGACAGAGGGGCCCAGGGCACCTGTTCTGGGGAGCAGAGGTCATTATTGGGGCATCTGGAATATTAATTTGGGGATCAGGGAATTTAGGAGTTTATATTAAAGGAGCAGAGAGTGAAACTGGGTGAGCCAAAGAGCAGAATGGTGAGAGCTTCGTTTCAAGGGAGTTGATTTCAAATTCAGTTACTATGAAGAGATCAATTTGGGGTACTCTTGGTCAGAAATGGGAATTTTAGATTGGAGATTAGATTAGAGGCTGCTCTGGTCAGAAAAGTGGGACTTAGGAGTGAGGATCATGGTAGGGTTAGCCCAGTCAAAAATGGGGGTCCAGGATGGGAGGTCGGGTTATGGTGAGAAATGGAAGTTCAAGGTTAGAACTGAGGGTGCCAAGACCAGGCGCGGTGGATCACACCTGTAATCCCAGCACTTTCGGAGGCCGAGGCGAGTGGATCACAAGGTCAGGAGTTCAAGACCAGCCTGGCCAAGATGGTGAAACCCCATCTCTACTAAAAATACAAAAATTTGCCGGGCAGGGTGGTGAGCGCCTGTAATCCCAGCTACTCGGGAGTCTGAGGCAGAGAATTGCTTGAACCCAGGAGGCAGAGGTTGCAGTGAGCTGAGATCATGCCACTGCACTCCAGCCTGGCAACAGAACAAGACTCCATCTCAAAAAAGAAAAAGAAAAGAAAAAAAAAGAACTGAGGGTACCCCCATCAAGAAATGGGGACTCCGGGTTAGGGGCTGGGCTGGGTGCCAGGGTGGGTCTGAGGTTCATCACCAGAGATAACTCCCATGGTAGGCCACGATGTTGGCGTGCCGGCAAGTTTTCAATATGAGGATTTCCTTCTGAAGGGTGGAGACATCATCATCTGTGAGGAGGGCGGGAGAGAAAAGGCAGCTCGCATGGGGAGAGAGCTACAGGGGAGGTGATCCCAGTGTCCCAGGAGGCGAAGGTGGGGATGTGGGGAAGGAGCTCCATGTTCCCTCCTCACCAGGCTCCATCTTCACCATCTTCAGTGCCACCAGGTCCCCTGACACCTTGTCTCGAGCCTTGCAAAGGGGAAGTTGGCAGTCAGGCAGGCTCCATTTGCCAGAGTCCCTCCACAGCATCCCTGAGTCAAGGTCAAGAACTGGGACCCCCTCTTGCAGCCTCCTCCCTGCCGAGGGCTTGCCTTAAAGGTCACTGGTTGTAGGGTGTTGGGGACAGAGGGGCTTCCTCACCTTAAAGACTTCCCCATACGTGCCGCCACCCAGCCGCTGTAGCAGGTCATAGTGGTCCCGGGGGTCTCTATTGAAAATGTCAGGGTCCACGACGTCCATCCCTGGGGGCCTGAGCTGGGCCTGCGCCCAGGGGCCAGCAGGGCCTCAGGGCTCAACTTCTGGCACCTCCCTCCGTCCCCAGAAGCCCTGCACCCGCCTTGCCTCCGCGGGCTGTGGCCTCCCCCCTCCTCACTCTCGCTTCCTGCCCCAGCTGCACTGCACGACTGTGCAACGGGCTCCACCCCCCCGTCCCCTGGGCTCTGAGAGCCTCTGAGGGGCAGCTTGTCTTGGGACCCAAGGGACCACCCTCAACCTCCAAGGCCCAGGGCTGGATGTAAATGTGATGCAAATGATCTTAATCGTAACTGGGTTGGAGGGGGGTGCCTTAGAACCCCCGCCCCCGTCTCCTAGGTAGTGTCTAAACCTCTGCTGGGTGCTTGAAGGTTTGGCCACAACCCGAAGGCGGCAGGTCTGCAAAGGGATGGCTATGCAGTGTACATGCCTGTTCACCTGTCACATACATGCACTTGGGTTACCTCCTCTGCACTGCGCAGGCGTGTAGACGTGCATCTGCCTGGATACCTGTGTGCACAGTACACACGTGGATGTACCCAGGACATATACCTCCACATGCATGGCACATAACTGCATTTTGTAGGCCTGCAGTGTACAAAACCTATACATAATATATAATTCATGGCAGTACAAATGGGACGCTCGCCCTCAGCTCCAAGACCGGAACCTAATGGAGACGGGGCGCGATCCGGCGAAGTCCAGGAGCCCTCACCCCAGCCCCTGCCCGGCAGAGCACAGTAGCTTTGTGGGACCCTCCTCCTGGAGCTGGGGACCAAGGGCTGAGACTTGAAACTGGAGAGCTCAGGATCCTGCACCAGGCGCCCAGGCCTGTGGCAAGAGGGACCTCAGAACACCTCCCTCGGAACTTGGCCATGGCCTAAACGTAAGGCTGCTGCGTGCATTCCCGCAGAGCTCCGTGGCCTCATGGCCGCGCGCAATACAACGCGCGCGCACGCCGCCAGAGCTCCGGGTGCTTCCCGGTGAGTTCGCGCGCGCACGCTCCCGCGCTACCGGCACTGGAACTGGGTCTGTGAGGCCCGGGAAAAGCTTAGCCCCGCCCCCTCGCCACGAGAGGCGCCTGCGCACTGGGATCCAGTAAGATTTTTCTCACGCTGTCTGTCCAGCTTGAGTGGCGCGAATGCGCACGCGCCAATTGCGCCTGCGAGGAAGAAGTCACGTGGCAGCCGGAAAGCGTGGCGGCTGCTGCTAGAGCCTTTCCCTTTACCGCACCCAAGGAGCTGGAGCGACAACAACGACGTCGTTTCCGTTTCCACCACCTCTTCCTGTTCCCGTCCTTGAGGACGCCGTGCCGGGTCAGTGTTAGCCTCCAGCCCTGGTTGTGGAAGGCGACAGAAGTCATGGCGATGTTTGAGCAGATGAGAGCCAACGTGGGCAAGTTGCTCAAGGGTATCGACAGGTCTGAGCCCGGTTGGAGGAAGCGCTCTGGCCAAGCGGGGCGGAGGAGAGGGTTTTCCGGAGACAGCAAGGGGTGTTCAGGGTCCTGGGCTTGCCGCGGGGTGGGGTTTCTCTATCCTCCTGGAGGAGGAGATGCTTAAAGAAACGGCACTGAGCTGGGGGTAGTGGCTCACGCCTGTGATCCTAGCACTTTGGGAGGCCGAGGTAGGTGGGTCGCCTGAGCCCAGGAGTTAGAGACCAGCCTGGGCAACAGCCAAACCCCGTCTCTAAAAGAAAGAAACAAAAGCACTGCAAAGGCCTAGAAGCGAGAGAATCTTGGTACCACTCAGTCTCTTCGTAAATTGCCTTAAGGTTTCCTTCTCTGCTCCGCCTCCTTTGAGTGCCTCTTAATCTCTCCCTTCTCTGCTCTATAAGTCATTCATTCTCCACACGTTTACTGAAATAAACTGTCAGTGCTAGGCAATGCTGGGAACCACAGGCGAATCAGACAGCGGCAGATCATGCCTTCACGGTCTGAGTTCCCTTTCCATAAGGGAGACAAACCTGACAGCAGACAGCGATAGCCGGGAGAGATTAGAACTGAAATGGGGGAAGCAAAGGCCAGAGTGTTCAGGTGGACATGGAGGAAGTAGGCAGCGAGGTAGGCAGGAGAGGATGGGGCTGGATCAGGGTGGAGGCCTGAACAGGGGAGGAAGGGGTGAGTAGCAGAGACATTCAGGAGGCCAGGTGTACAAGCTGCAGTGACTGACTGGCTCAGAGGTTGAGGAGGCATCCTAGGGAAGAGCCAGGGCTCCAGTGGAGTTTAGAGCTTAGGCGAGAGGTCTGGGATAAGAATAAGTTTTACTAGAGATTATACTGGACATAATTCACTACCTGGATAGAGCAAGTGGCCAGTGCCAGATTTAGAGGGGAAGGGCGGGAGGAGCAGGTTACAGTGGCCCCTTGCTCCATAAGGTGGCTGGCCTCAGCTTCTGTCTCCTCTGTGCTCACCTATCTTGATTCTCCTTTAGGTACAATCCTGAGAACCTGGCCACCCTGGAGCGCTATGTAGAGACGCAGGCCAAGGAAAATGCCTATGATCTGGAAGCCAACCTGGCTGTCCTGAAGCTGTAAGTGTCTAGCTCTCTGTCTACACTCCCATTGCAGCAACTAGCAGGGTGCCACTCCCAGTACAGGGCAAGGGGGTGGCTGGTAGTATCCTGAACAATGCAGCATCTCTTGGTGTGCAAGACTAGGAAGCCAAGGAAGTTGGGACAGGAGGAGGGATGGTTTTTGAAAAATCAATTGCCGGGCGCGGTGACTCACGCCTGTTATCCCAGCACTTTGGGAGGATGAGGCAGGCGGATCACCTGAGGTAGGGAGTTTGAGACCAGCCTGGCCAACACGGAGAAACCCCATCTTTACTAAAAAATACCAAATTAGCCAGGCGTGGTGCCACATGCCTGTAATCCCAGCTACTCGGGAGGCTGAGGCAGGAGAATTGCTTGAACCCAGGAGGCGGAGATTGTGGTGAACCAAGATCGCGCCATTGCACTCCAGCCTGGGCAACAAGACCGAAACTCCGTCTCAAAAATAATAATAAAAAATCAATTAGGGTGGCCGCAGGGGCTCATGCCTGTAATCCCAGCACTTTGGGAGGCTGAGGCGAGAGACTCACTTGAGCCAAAGAGTTCGAGACCATCCATGGCAACATAGCGAGACCCAACCCTACGAAAAAATTTAAAAATTAATGTAGCGGTGTGTGGCTGTAGTTCCAGCTACTTGAGAGGCTGAGGTGGAAGGATCGCTTAAGCCTGGAAGATTAAGGTGCAGTGAGCCATGATAGTGCCACTGCACTCCAGCCTGGGGGACAGAGTGAGACCCCTCTTTTTAAAAAAAAAAAAAAAAAAAAGAATTACCAATTTGGGTGACATGGCACAACCCTGTCTCTACAAAAATTAGCTGGGCCCAGTGGCGCATGGCTGTAGTCCCAGCTCCTTGGGAGGCTGAGGCAGGAGAATTTTTTGAGCCTGGGAGGCAGAGGTTGCAGTGAGCCAAGATCATACCACTGCACTCCAGCTTGGGCGACAGAGTGAGACCCTGTCTCAAAAATAAATAAAGGTTAATTACAGAACACATGTACAGGCTAATACATTAAGCAAACATGTAGTTTAACAAATCATTATAAATGAAAGCCTACATAATCACCATTTATGTTGCAAAGTTATTGCTAGCACCACAGGCTCTTTGCCCCCTATGCTCTATGCCAACCAATTCCCCTGCTCCCCCATGCTCTCATGGCCTGGCTTTATGTGATGGTTTACTATGCATGCATACATCTGGCTCAGCTCAGCTCAGGTTTCCCTGCTTTGAACTTGATACAGATGGAGTGCATACAGCACAAACTCTTCTGCATTTGCCATTTGCTACTCAGCACTGGGTTTGTGAGATCCATCCAGTGTTTTTTGTTTTTTTGTTTTGTTTTTGATATGGCTGCAGTTTGTTGTCATGGATGTATAGCTCTCCACTGTGTCACTTGTGTGGCTGTCCTAATGATCTCTTCTGGCTCTTGATGGACATTGTGGGTTCTTCGTGCCCTTTTTTTTTTTTTTTTTTTTTTGGAGACAGGATCTTCTGTTGCCCAGGCTGGAGTACAGTGGCACAGTCATGGCTCACTGCATCCTTAGCCTTCTGGACTCAAGTGATTCTCCCGCCTCAGCCTCCTGAATAGCTGGGACTACAGGCATGCACCACCATGCCCAGCTAATTTTACTTGGGTGCTTTCTTTCTTTCCTTTTTTTTTTTTTTTTGAGACAGGGTCTCACCTTCTTGCCCAGGCTAGAGTGCCTTGGCGTGATCTCATGATCTCAACTCAGTGCATCCTTTGCCTCCCAGGTTCATGTAATCCTCCTGCCTCGGCCTCCTAAGTAGCTGTACGTATCGGGGGGCCTGCCCCGATAATCACGTAGGTTCTTTTCTATATTCCTAAGCATTGGCTGGCTTGAGAAATAGAAGGACAGAGTACAAAAGAGAGAAATTTTAAAGCTGGGCGTCCGGGGGAGACATCACACATTGGTAGGATCCGTGATGCCTCACAAGCCACAAAAACCAGCAAGTTTTTATTAGGGATTTTCAAAAGGGGAGGGAGTGTGCGAATAGGTGTGGGCGACAGACATCAAGTACTTAACAGGGTAATAGAATATCACAAGGCAAGTGGAGGCAGGGCGAGATCACAGGACCACAGGATCAAAGCGAAATTAAAATTGCTAATGAAGTTTTGGGCACCACTGTCATTGATAACATCTTATCAGGAGACAGGGTTTTGAGATCAACCGGTCTGACCAAAATTTATTAGGCGGGAATTTCCTCTTCCTAATAAGCCTGGGAACGCTATGGGAGACGAGTTTATTTCACCTCTGCAATCTCGACTATAAGAGACAGGTACGCCCCGGGGGGCCCGTTCAGAGACCTACCCCTAGGTGCGCATTCTCTTTCTCAGGGACGTTCCATGCTGAGAAAAAGAATTCAGCGATATTTCTCCCATTTGCTTTTGAAAGAAGAGAAATATGGCTCTGTTCTGCCCGGCTCACCGGCAGTCAGAGTTTAAGGTTCTCTCTCTCATTCCCGGAACAATTGCTGTTATCCTGTTCTTTTTCCAGGGTGCCCACATTTCATATTGCTCAAACACACATGTTGTGCAATTTTTGTAGTTAACGCAATTATTACAGGGTCCTGGAACGATATACATCCTCCTCAACTGACAGGATTAAGAGATTAAAGTAAAGACAGGCATAGGAAATCACAAGGGTATTGATTGGGGAAGTGATAAGTGTCCATGAAATCTTTACAATTTATGTTTAGAGATTGCAGTAAAGACAGGCATAAGAAATTACAAAAGTATTAATTTGGGGAACTAATAAATGTCCATAAAATCTTCACAATCCACGTTCTTCTGTCATGGCTTCAGCCGGTCCCTCCGTTTGGGGTCCCTGACTTCCCGCAACAGGTACGCACCACCATACCCAGCTAATTTTTGTATTTTTAGTAGAGACAGGGTTTTGCCATGTTAGCCAGGCTGGTCTCGAACTCCTGACCTCAGGTGATCCACCCGCCTTGGCCTCCCAAAGTGCTGGGATTACAGGCGTGAGCCACTGCACCCAGCCTAATTTTTGTATTTTTAGTAGAGACGGGGCTTTGTCATGTTGGCCAGGCTGGTCTCGAACTCCTGATCTCAGGTGATCCGCCCATCTCGGCCTCCCAAAGTGCTGGGATTACAGGCTTGAGCCACCCACCTACCCACCCCCACCGCCACCTTCTGTTGTCCTCTTTTGCAAGGGAGGAAACCGTCAGCCCCTCAGTTTCCTTTCTCTGCTCCTCAGCCTTTCAGTGCCTCTTAATCTCTCTCTTCTCTGCTCCTCGTGTCATAAATAAGCAGTCCAAGGTCACTCAGCAGGGAAGTTTAAACCGAGGCAGTCTGGCTCTGGTTCCTTAGCCACTACTCCAGACCACTGCTGCTGTTCTCATTTGTTTATAAATCACTTAGCAGTGTCTGCCCCATTGGGTAGTTGTGAGCATTAACTGTCCCTGTTCACAGAGGAGAAAGGTAGGCTCAGGGAGGTGAAGGTTACACAGCTGGGAAGCACTGGGACTGGGATTGGAACCCAGGCATGTCCAATTCCCAAACTCCAGAATAAAGCAGCTGCCTGGCACCTGGTGAGGATTGGGGACTTGGAGGTGCCACTGTGGCCACGTCTCTTGTTCTTTTTCTTAGGTACCAGTTCAACCCAGCCTTCTTTCAGACCACGGTCACCGCCCAGATCCTGCTGAAGGCCCTCACCAACTTGCCGCACACAGACTTCACCCTGTGCAAGTGCATGATCGACCAGGCACATGTATCCTTCCAGCACTGGGGCCGGGGGGTGTGTGGGAAGGGGTCAGAGTCAAGGTGCATGAATTCCCAGGGAGATGGTCTGTGGGTGTATCCACAAACAACAAGTGCCTGCTCTGGTCCAGCGTGGCAAGGTGCTGGACAGTGCTGGGACACTGGTGACTGAGACAGTCCTGGGCCCTGTCTTCACAAAGTTGTCGCAGTCCAGTGAAGAGTCAGTGATAGACTGGAGTGGTCAGGGTTGGGTTACAAGAGTCACAGCAGCCGGGCACAATGACTCAGGCCTCTAATCCCGGCACTTTGAGAGGTCAAGGTGGGTGGATCACCTGAGGTCAGGAGTTCGAGACCAGCCTGGCCAACATGGCGAAACCCCATCTCTATTAAAATACAAAAAATTAGCCAGGCACAGTGGCACACACCTATAGTCCCAGTTACTCAGGAGGCTGAGGCAGGAGGATCACTTGAAGCTGGGAGATGGAGGTTGCAGTGAGCCGAGATTGCGCCACTGCACTCCACCCTGGGTGACACAGTGAGACTCTGTCTCAAAAAAAAAAAGAAGAGCCAGAGTAGGCACCTGACCATTTGGGTGGGGGAATATGTGGACATGAACACAGCCATCTGTATTTACATTCTATAGAACAATGTCTGGAAAGGTGGAAAGGTACCCAAGAATTGGAAATGACTGTTACCTCCCAGGAAGGATGGCTGTGAGACAGGGAAGGGAAGACCTATTTTGCCACTGTTCACTCTTCTGTATTTTTAACTAGAAACTATAAACCAGGGCCTCCTGGAGGAGGGAACATCTAAAACATAACGAGTTAGGTGGAGGGGTAGGCAAAGGTGATCCAGGCAGAGAGGACACTCATGGGCTAAAGGAAGCAGAGCTCGGTGCTGTCTTTCAGGAATGGTAGAGGAAGCCTGACATAGGAATGATTTAAGGTGGGTTTTTTTTTGTTGTTGTTTTATTTTATTTATTTTATTTTTTTTTTGAGACGGAGCCTTGCTCTGTCACCCAGTCTGGAGTGCAGTGGCGTGATCTCGGCTTCCTGCAACTTCCACCTCCCAGGTTCAAGCTATTCTGTCTCAGCCTCCTGAGCAGCTGGGACCACAGGTGCATGCATGCTACCACGCCCAGCTAATTTTTGTATTTTTAGTAGAGACGGGGTTTTGCTATGTTGGCCAGGCTGCTCTCGAACTCCTGACCTCAGGTGATCCACCCGCCTCAGCCTCCCAAAGTGATAGGATTACAGATGTGAGCCACCGTGCCCAGCCTATAGGTTTTATTTTATTAGTAATAATAGTAGGGTTTTTTTGTTAATATTTTCTTTTTTTTTGAGATGGAGTCTTGCTCTGTCATCCAGGCTGGCGTGCAAAGGCGTGATCTTGGCTCACTACAACCTCCTCCTCCCGGGTTCAAGTGATTCTCCTGCCTCAGCCTCCCAAGTAGCTGGGACTATAGGCACGTGCCACCACACCCAGCTGCTTTTCGTATGTTTAGTAGAGATGGGGTTTCGCTATGTTGGCCAGGCTGGTGTCGAACTCCTGACCTCAGGTGATCCACCCGCCTTGGCCTCCCAAAGTGCCAGGATTACAGGCGTGAGCCACCAGGACTGGCATGTCATTTCTCATCTTTTGCCATTACAAACAGTCCTGCAGCCAACATCCTTTCTCCTGCATACACCTGCAGGAGAAATAAGCTGGCTTCCTTTTCCAGCTGTTTTTCTGAGCTGAAGCTTTGGAAGAAAGCAGCCAGAAGAAGGTAGGTGGGGAGGGGTGATCTGGGGTCCAACCTTACGCTCCGAGGCCAGTTTTCCTTAATGCTTCCTCCTCCCAGCAAGAAGAACGGCCAATCCGACAGATTTTGTACCTCGGGGACCTGCTGGAGACCTGCCATTTCCAGGCCTTCTGGGTAACTTCCCTGGGGTCCAGGGGCAGGGGAGATGGCAGGGCCATGTGGAGCTGAGTGCTAAAAGTAACAACGGTGCACACTGACTGGCTTCCTGCTTTGGCGGTGGGCCCAGTGCTCTGCATGTGTGTGTTTGTGGAATTATCATCCTCTCGCGGAGCAGGTACTCACAGGTCATCCCCGTGCCCACAGGCTGAGGCCGACCCTTTCCCCTTTCTCCCATCTTTCCACTGAGCCCTCTAGTACACACCGTTGATCAGAAGTCCTCCAGTGGCTGGGTGTAGTGACTCACCCCCGTGATTCCAGTACTTGTGGAGGCCAAGGTGGGAGGATTGCTTGAGGCCAGGAGTTCCAGACCAGCCTGAGCAACATAGTGAAACTTCATCTCTACAAAATTGAAAATTAATTGGGTGTGGTGGCATGTGCCTGTACTCCCAGCTACCCAGGAGGCTAAGGTGGGAGGATCGCTTGAGGCTGCGAGTGAGCCGTGATCACACCACTGCACTCCAGCCTGGGCAACAGAGCAAGACCCTGTCTCAAGAAAGAGAAATTCTCCGTCTCTTCTACCTGTCTGACATGCTCTGCCCTTCTTGCTCTAACTGGAACCTGGCCCCCCACTTCTGCAGCCCCCTAAGTGGGAGGCTAGATCACCTCCTGGCTCCTATCTCTTCTGATACCCTCAGTCTTTTTTGTTGTTTTTTGTTTGTTTGTTTTTTGGTTTTTTTGAGATGGAGTCTCACGCCATTGCCTAGGCTGTAGTACAGTGGCACGATCTTGGCTCACTGCAACCTCTGCTTCCCGGGTTCAAGTGATTCTCCTGTCTCCCGAGTAGCTAGTACTACAGGCACACGCCATCATGCCCAACTAAATTTTATATGTATTTTTTATTTTATTTTGTTTTATTTTTGAGACAGAGTCTCAGTCTTGCCCAGGCTGGAGTGCAGTGGCGCGATCTTGGCTTACTGCAACTGCCGCCTCCCGAGTTCAACTGATTCTCGTGCCTCAGCCTCCTAAGTGGCTGGGGTTACAGGCATGTGCCATCACGCTGGCTAATTTTTGTATTTTTAGTAGAGACGGGGTTTTGCCATGTTGTCCAGGCTGGTCTTGAATTCCTGACCTCAGGTGATCTGCCTGCCTCAGCCTCCCAAAGTGCTGGGATTATAGGCGTGAACCACCACGCCGGGCCAGAAACCCCCAGTTTTGAAGTGTGTGTGTCGTCACTTCCTGCCCGGTATCAGTCCCTCTGGTGACTGCTCTTTGTTTCTTGAAGAATTCAGCCCCTGGCTGGCCACGGTGGCTCAACGCCTGTAATCCCAGCACTTTGGGAGGCCGAGGCAGGTGGATCACCTGAGGTCGGGAGTTCGAGACCAGCCTGACCAACGTGGAGAAATACTGTCTTAACTAAAAATACAAAATTAGCTGGGTGAGGTGGCACATGCCTGTAATCCTAGCTGCTCGGGAGGCTGAGGCAGGAGAATCACTTGAACCCAGTGGGTTCAACCTCACCCAGAGGTTATGGTGAGCTGAGATCATGCCGTTGCACTCCAGCCTGGGTGACAGAGTGAGACTCCGTCTCAAAAAAAAAAAAAATTCAGCTCCTTCTCACTGGCGCTCTCTACCACTCCTGCCCTAATTCTTAGACGCTTAGAAAGTAACACAGAGGATCCTTTGACCACCCAGACCTCTGGGTCCCTTGCTCTCTTGGCCAGCTATCTTGTGCTACACCTGACCTCAGCCCTTCTCTTCCAATCATACCCCAGGCCAGTTCTCTGCACATTAGACCTCTGAGGCATTTATTTTCTTTCCTTTTTTTTTTTTTGTTTGAGACCATGTCTCGCTGTGTCACCCAGGCTGGAATGCAGTGGCACAATCTCAACTCACTGCAACCTCTGCCTGCTGGGTTCAAGCAATTTTCCTGTCTCAGCCTCCCAGGTAGCTGGGACTACAGGCATGCACCACCCCGCCGGCTAATTTTTGTATTTTTAGTAGAGACGGGGTTTCACCATGTTGGCCAGGCTGGTCTCGAACTACTGACCTCAAGTGATCTGCCCGCCTTGGCCTTCCAAAGTGCTGGGACTACAGGTGTCAGCCACCACGCCCGGACCTCTGAGGCATTTTTAAAAATTAATACTGATACTTGGGTCCTCCCTCACAGAGTCTGATGTAATTGCTTCAGTGTAGCCTAGGCCTTGGGATTTTAAAAGGTTACCCTGGGTGATTTGGACATCTGGCCAATGTTGGGAGCCACTGCCGTCACCAATAATGGCTCCCCTCCTCCCTCTGTGAGTTTCCAGCATCTCCATTCTCTGACCGCTTCCTCCTAGCTTCTCAGCTCACCCCCACAGGGTCTCCATCCCCACATTCTTGGGCCTGACCATTAGCTCCAACCCTCTTTCTCTGCAGGCTTCTCTGTTCCGCTTCCTTCTCTTAAATCGCATGTGCTGGCTGGGCATGGTGGCTCACACCTGTAATCCCAGCACTTTGGGAGGCCGAGGTGGATGGATCGCCTGAGGTCAGGAGTTCGAGACCAGCCTGACCAACGTGGAGAAACCCCATCTCTACTAAAAATACAAAGTTGGCCGGGCGTGGTGGCGCATGCCTGTAATCCCAGCTACTCGGGAGGCTGAGGCAGGAGAATTGCTTGAACCTGGGAGGCGGAGATTGCGGTGAGCCGAGATCATGCCATTGCACTCCAGTCTGAAAAAGAGCGAAACTCCATCTCAAAAAAAAAAAAGAGAAAAAATGTCGCATGTGACTCCCCTGTCCCCAGCTGCAGCTACGGTCTTGCTTCCTTCCCCAACTCCTGGATGTTTCCTCATGCTTTATCTGTCTCCCTTTCTTCTCACCTCAACTTATGATCTGGCTTCTTGTCTCGGGAGAAAATGGAAGCAGCCACTGTAGAAATTGCACCTGTTCCTATCCCAGACCCTGACATTTTATGTGCAGCTGACTGCACACTTTTTTTTTTAATTCTTAAACATTTTATTTTTTATTCAAGTAAGAAATTATTGATTAGCTTCAGTTAATCCCACAAAGAAAATGATCAAATGCTTAAAATAATAGAGTTTACTAGTTCTACAACTGTTCTCACTAGCAAACTAGCAAATGAGATGTGTTGGAGATCTTAGACCTATTCCATGGAACAGATAGACAGGTTTTTTTTGTTTGTTTGTTTTGTTTTGTTTTGTTTTGTTTTGTTTTGTTTTGTTTTTTGAGACAGGGTCTCACTCTGTCGCCCAGGCCGCAGTGCAGTGATGCAAACACAGCTCACTGCAGCTTTGACCTCCCAGGCTCAAGTGATCCCCGCACTTCAGCCTCCTGAGTAGCTGGGACTAACAGGCCCACGCCAACACGCCTGGCTAATTTTTCTATTTGTAGTAGAGGTTGGATTTCGCCATGTTGACCAGGCTGGTCTTGAACTTCTGGCCTCAAGTGATCCTCCTGCCTCGCCTCCCAAAGTGCTGGGATTACAGGTTGAGCCACCACGCCCGGCCACAAATCTGGATTTCTGCCCACCTCACTGGCTACACCTTCCCGGCATCCATGTGGGGGATTCCCTCCCTTTTGTTGGAGAGAACCTATACCACAGACCTAACCTTTGAGCAGAAATCTGAAGGAGGTGAGGGTGGTAGCCATGGAGGAGAATTCCATACACAGGCCCTGAGGTAGGCGGGTGTCTGGCGGGTTTGGGGAGCAGCAGGGAAGCCCCTGTGGCTGGAGCAGGGTGAGTGAGTAGCGAGTAGGTGGAGGTGAGGGCACAGAGGTGACAGGCAGATTCTGTGTGGCCTAATGGGCTATGGTAGGAAAATTGGCCTTTTCTCTGAGTGAGACAGAAGCAAGGGGAGGTGGCTGAATACACTTAGCCAATATGTGTCTGCCCCCTTTCTCAGGGCTCTGGTTTCTGCCTGCCAGGTTCAAGCCTCACCTCCAGGATTTTTGGAAAATCATGTAGCTGCCCTGGTCTCCTCATCTCTAAAATGGATATAACTTACATCACATGGCTACACTTAGAAGAATGGCTATAGCATGTGGGGTCAGTGCTCAAAGTGGTAGCTGCTTTTTTTTTTTTTCTGAAATGGAGTATGGCTCTGTCGCCCAGGCTAGAGTGCAGTGATATGATCTTGGCTCGCTGCAACCTCTGCCTCCCAGGTTCAAGTGATTCTTCTGCCTCATCTTCCCAAGTGGCTGGGATTACAGATTTCAGGCATCCACCACCACACCCGGTTTAATTATTTATTTATTTATTTATTTTTTTTTTTTTTTGAGATGGAGTCTCGCGCTGTCGCCCAGGCTGGAGTTCAGTGGCACAATCTCAGCTCACTGCAACCTCTGCCTCCTGGGTTCAAGTGATTCTTCTGCCTCAGCATCCCGAGTAGCTGGGTCTGCAGGCACATGCCACCACACCTGGCTAATTTTTTGTATTTTTAGTAGAGACGAGGTTTCACCATGTTAGCCGGGATGGTCTCGATCTCCTGACCTCACGATCGCCCGTCTCAGCCTCCCCAAGTGCTGGGATTACAGGTTTGAGCCACCACGCCCAGCCAGCCTAATTTCTGTTTTTTGTTTGTTTGTTGTTTTTTGTTTTGTTTTGTTTTGAGACAGAGCCTCCCTCTGTCGCCCAGTCTGGAATGCAATGGTGTGATCTCGGCTCACCACAACCTCCATCTCCTGGGTTCAAGCGATTCTCCTGCTTCAGCCTCCTCAGTAGTTGGGATTACAGGAATGTGCCACCACGCCCTGCTAATTTTGTAATTTTAGTAGAGTCAGGGTTTCTCCATGTTGGTCAGGCTGGTCTCGAACTCCCGACCTCAGGTGATCCGCCCGCCTCAGCCTCCCAAAGTGCTGGGATTACAGGCATGAGCCACTGTGCCTGGCTGATTTCTTTATTTTTAGTAGAGACAGGGTTTCACCCTGTTGGCCAGGGTAGTCTCGAACTCCTGACCTCAAGTGATCCACCCACCTCAGCCTCCCAAAGTGCTGGGATTATAGGTGTGAGCCACCACACATGGCCTGGTAGCTGCTATTCTTGTTAACATTACTGAAGGGGTGGGTTGCCCCTCCACACCTGGGAGTGTTTCTCGTTAGGTGGAATGAGAGACTTGGAAAAGAGACATAGAGACAAAGTATAGAGAAAGAGAAAAGGGGGCCCAGGGGACCGCGTTCAGCACACGGAGGATCCCACCGGCCTCTGAGTTCCCTTAGTATTTATTGATCATTATTGGGTGTTTCTCGGAGAGGGGGATGTGGCAGGGTCATAGGATAATAGTGGAGAGAAGGTCAGCAGGTAAACACGTGAACAAAGGTCTCTGCATCATAAACAAGGTAAAGAATTAAGTGCTTTGCTTTTGATGTGCATACACATAAACATCTCAATGCCTTGAAGAGCAATATTGCTGCCCGCGTGTCCCACCTCCAGCCCTAAGGCGGTTTCCCCCTATCTCAGTAGATGGAACATACAATCGGGTTTTACACGAGACATTCCATTGCCCAGGGACGGGCAGGAGACAGATGCCTTCCTCTTGTCTCAACTGCAAAGAGGCGTTCCTTCCTCTTTTACTAATCCTCCTCAGCACAGACCCTTTACGGGTGTCGGGCTGGGGGACTGTCAGGTCTTTCCCTTCCCACGAGGCCATATTTCAGACTATCACATGGGGAGAAACCTTGGACAATACCTGGCTTTCCTAGGCAGAGGTCCCTGCGGTCTTCCGCAGTGTTTGTGTCCCTGGGTACTTGAGATTAGGGAGTGGTGATGACTCTCAAGGAGCATGCTGCCTTCAAGCATCTGTTTAACAAAGCACATCCTGCACCGCCCTTAATCCATTTAACC
Organism: Homo sapiens; assembly: GCF_000001405.40. Lineage (NCBI taxonomy): Eukaryota > Metazoa > Chordata > Mammalia > Primates > Hominidae > Homo > Homo sapiens. Next base: position 41,563 of record NW_014040929.1, read on the forward strand.
CTGAGTTGACCCAGCACATGTCTCAGGGAGCACGGGGTAAGGTTACAGATTAACAGCATCTCAAGGCAGAAGAATTTTTCTTAGTACAGAATAAAATGGAGTCTCCTGTGTCTACTTCTTTCTACACAGACACAGTAACAATCTGATCTTTCTTTTCCCCACACATTACTGATAAGAACGTTGTTGATAGGTAAGATTACCAGTGTAGGCTGGGAGTGGTGGCTCACCCCTGTAATCCCAACGCTTTGAGAGGCCAGCGTGGGCAGATCACTTGAGCCCAGGAGTTTGAGATCAGCCTGGGCAATATAGTGAGACCTCGTCTATGTAACAACAGCAGCAACAAAATCTTAGCACTTTGGGGGGCTGAGGCAGGAAGATCACTTGAGCCCAGAAATTCAAGACCAGCCTGGGCAACGTAGTGAGACCCCATCTCTATAAATAAATAAAAATAAAAGCAAATAATTTAAAAGAATAAACATTGTGAACATCAATTCCCATCACAGCAAGCCCTGGATGAAAACATGGACCTCTTGGAAGGTATAACTGGCTTTGAAGACTCTGTCCGAAAGTGTAAGTCCCTCTCTGAGGCTGGGCTCCCCAAGGGGAAGGGGTAGGGAGTGGCAGCCAGGTCCGGGGGGACAGCTGCTCACCGGTTTTGTCTCTGACCTCCACAGTTATCTGCCATGTTGTGGGTATCACTTACCAGCACATTGACCGCTGGCTGCTGGCCGAGATGCTCGGGGATCTGTCGGGTAACGCCCTCTGGGTCCTGGTGCACATCTGGGAGGTTGGGGGTGGCTAGGGCAGTGGACCTCAGTCAGCTCCTCCAACAGGCCTGTCTGGGTCTCATCAGGTCAGCATGGAAGGCCCAGCCCAAGGAGGAAATAAGAACTTGGTATAAGACAGTCTCTGCCTTGAGGGAGATCCTATGCCATTTGCTCATTTATTTTGCATTAATTGAGTGCCTACCGTGTGTCAGTGTGCTAAACTGGGCGTGCAGCAGTAAACAAAGTGGGATGGCTCCAATTCATTCTCATGGAGGTAGCAAAGCACATGGCGACATGGAGGTGTCCAGTGGTGATTCCTGTCATGAAGGAAAGCAAGACAGCTCACAGACCAGCGGCATCTGAGCCCTTACCTCCGTAGAGAGAGGCCCGTGGCCTGAGGTAGTGCAGAGGAGGATAGTAGAGCAGGGCCCTGACTTGTAACGTTCATGGGTAGCCAGGGTGTATGTGGCCAGAGCAGAGTAAGCATGGGCGAAAGTAGAGAGCTGGGGGTTGGAGGGGCATTTCCAGGTCATGTGGGGCCTCGGGAGGACCTTGTCCTTTCCCCTGACTGAGAAGGAGCCACCGGAGGGCTCTGAGCAGGGTAGGGCTCTGATCAGATGGATATTTTTTAAAGATCCCCCCAAGAACAAAAAAAGAAAAAATAACTTATTTGCTTACTTTTGTAAAAAGAAACGTAGAAAAGGAAGTCAAGAAACTAAGGAAGGCCGGGTGCGGTGGCTCCCGCCTGTAATCCAGCACTTTGGGAGGCCGAGGTGGGCGGATCATCTGTGGTCAGGAGTTCGAGACCAGCCTGCCCAACATGGTAAAACCCCCTCTCTACTAAAAATACAAAAAATTGCTGGGTGTGGTGGCGTGCACCTGTAATCCCAGCTACTTGGGAGGCTGAGGCAGGAGAATTGCTTCAACGCAGGAGGCGGAGGTTGCAGTGAGCTGAGATCGCACCATTGCACTAGTGATAAGATCGAAACTCCATCTAAAAAAAAAAAGAAACTAAGGAAGGCCACGTGTGATGGCTCATACCAGTGAGGGAGGCAGATCACGTGAGGTCAGGAGTTCGAGACCAGCCTGGCCAACATGGGGAAACCCCGTCTCTACTAAAAATACAAAAATTAGCTGGACGTGTTGGCATGTGCCTGTAATCCCAGCTATTCGGGAGGCTGAGGCAGGAGAACCGCTTGAGCCCAGGAGCAGAGGTTGCAGTGAGCCAAGATCACACCACTGCATTCCACTCTGGGCACTTTTAGTAGAGAAGGAGTTTGACCATGTTGGCCAGGCTGGTCTTGAACTCCTGACCTCAAGTGATCTGCCCACCTTGGCCTCCCAAAGTACTGGGATTACAGGCGTGAGCCGCTGCATCCAGCCAAGTAAAAGCTAACTTTTTTTTTTTTTTTTTTTTTTTTTTTGAGGTGGAGTCTGGCTCTGTCACCCAGGCTGGAATGCAGTGGCATAATCTCGGCTCACTGCAACCTCCTCCTGGTTTCAAACAATTCTCCTGCCTCAGCCTTCCAAATAGCTGAGACTATAGGCCTCTGCCACCTCGCCCAGCTAATTTTTTTTTTTTTTTTTTTTTTAGCAGAGATGGGGTTTCACCACGTTGGCCAGGACTTGGCACGGTGGCTCACACCTGTAATCCCAGCACTTTGGGAGGCCAAGGTGGGCGGATCACCTGAGGTCGGGAGTTCGAGACCAGCCTGACCAACATGGAGAAACCCCATCTCTACTAAAAATACAAAATTAGCCAGGCGTGGTGGCGCATGCCTATAATCCCAGCTACTCGGGAGGCTGAGGCAGGAGAATTGCTTGAACCTGGGAGGTGGAGGTTGCAGTGAGCCGAGATTGCGCCATTGCACTCCAGCCTGAGCAACAAGAGCAAAAACTCCGTCTCAAAAAAAAAAAAGTGTATTGTTTCTGGTAATGGTCATGTTATAATTTTGCAACCGTTTCATATAGGTTGTGGGAAAAGGTAGATAAATACGCTGCTCTTGTTAGGAACCAAAATTTGCCCAGGGAGAGAAAACAGAGGAATAGAAATTAAGGCAGAAGCCCCACGATGAGGCTGAAAGAGCTCACAGGCTCCCTCTGGCGGCCATTCAGAGAATGACCCGTGGAAGGGCAGGGGCGGAAGCAAGGAGACCAGGCCAGCTGCTGCTGTCCAGGAGATGTCAGTGGGCAAGGGGGGCTGCCCTGGCTTCCTGAGCCATGACTCTGTTGCCTCTCAGTCCCCTGGAACTGTGGGATCAGGCTGACTGAAGCCCCTTGCTGCCCCTGTCACCTGCAGACAGCCAGCTAAAGGTGTGGATGAGCAAATACGGCTGGAGTGCCGACGAGTCGGGGCAGATCTTCATCTGTAGCCAAGAAGAGAGCATTAAACCCAAGAACATTGTGGAGAAGATTGACTTTGACAGTGAGTGGTGACCCACGGCCTCGGGCTTTGGGGCTAAGGGGGTGCCCCTCAAGGGAGGCCGAGGCAGGGGCCCAGAGGACCTGGGTAGATCTGCTCGTGTTCTGGGCTGGGAAGTCTGCACCTGCCAGATTCCATTCACCTTGTGTCTTGGGGCTCCCGCCCAGGAGGAATAGCGGGGAGCTGGGTGATCTTCCCTGGAACTTCTAGGCCCTGTGTCCTGCCCCATAGCACTCAGCAAGACTTCCTGGGGCCCAGCGGGGCCTCACAGGGGGTCTCTGCACCCTTATTTGTCCCTGAGGCCTGTCTCGTTGGCCATCTTTTATTCTTGGGGTGCCCAAGCCTCATGTGCAGACTTGGAATCCGGTGAACAGTAGGAATCTTGATTCTCTAGTTTGGGTGATTCCACATTTTTGTGCCTCAGTTTTCTCATCTAAAAAATGGGGACGACTGCAACAGTAACTATGATAAACACTGTGTAGGTCCTTACACTTACATCATTTGATCCTCAGTTGCTAAATGATATAAATAGTATCATACCTACCTCATGGCATCATAAGTGTGAATGCATGTATAACACTTAGCAAAGAGCTAAGTGACCACACAGTTCATTAAATGTTCATTATGACCATCGTCTACACACATGTAACTAACACAGGCTCAACTGCTTGCTCAACTAAAAAGATTGCAGTGGCTACTCCGGCAGCGGGTGCTGCTTCACTGCCGCTCATCATGGCACTGAGCAGATGTCCTGGAGCCAGGGAGAAAGGCACAGGCGGGCTGCTGCCTTCATCCCGGGTCTCCCCCACCCGCTTGAGTGTGATTCAGGTGTTTTAAAGATGTGTTTGGTACAACGTGGTTTCTTAACACAAACCAGCTAATTTTGTACTTAACTGGGGAACAGCATTGAGCAGGCAGCCATCTGCGCACTTGCAGCCCGTGGTATCTCACCTCTAAACGCCGCGTGACTGCTGTGTCGGGGTTCTCAGTGAGAACTCCAGCAAAAGATTCTGTAGTGAGGAAAGGGCCTCCTTTCTTCTCCCCTTTGGCTTCTGTTGCCCCACCCCACCTTCCTGACCTTTTAGGTCACAGGTGGAGAGGGCAGTGCTGAGTCAACAAGGAAAAGGAGGAGGAAGGTGTGAATCTCAGGGAAGTAGGAGCCCAGCCCTGCCGGGGGAGTAGACGGGAGGGTTCCCTCTGTCTCAGTTCTGGCTCCATTGCTCTGTGTCCTGGGTCAAACAGGATAGGTTCAAAATACTCAGGAGGCTGAGGCAGGAGAATCACTTGAACCCGGAAGGTGGAGGTTGCAGTGAGCCAAGATCGCTCCACTGCACTACAGCCTGGGCAACAGAATGAGACTGTGTCTCAAAAAAAAACTTAAGAGTATCCTGCAAATAGTACCTAGTAAATATTATCATGTAGGTAATTACAAACAACACTTCCTTGGCACTTTGTTCTAAGCACCTCGTTTGGTCCTACAATCCTATAAGGTAGGTGCTTCTTAAAGATAGGAAGGTAGGTGATGCTCAGAGATGTTCAGTAACTTGTCCAAGTGACCCAGCTGTTAATTGGCAGAGCTGGGATTTGAACCTAGCCCTCCTTGCTCCAGAGTCCATCTTTTTAAAATACTGCACCAAACTGCCTTTGTGATGGTAACTGGGGCCTGGAAGGAGTTTATGATCTCCCCCTAAAGAATTGTGGGTGCTGTAGCAGGTGGCTGGAGGTTTGTCTCCCGCCCTTCTCACCTTCAGTCTGGTCTCTCCTTCCCCACAGGTGTGTCCAGCATCATGGCCTCCTCCCAGTAACTTCAGGTGTTTAATAAAGATGTGTTGACTCAGCCCTACTGTCTCCTCCCTGGCTTCCTGCCTCTGCCCCTTGCCCACCAGAGGGAGCTCAGGAGCAGGCCTCTGCTCTGGGTTGGCCCCCGCACCGTACCCCCAGCCCCCACCACACCACACCCCATGGCGGGGTTTCCGCCTCCTTTTTCCCCTGCTTCGACTTCCTCCCTTGCCCCACCCTACCTTCCTGACCTTTTAGGTCTTGGGTGGGGAGGGCAGCATTGAGTCAGCAAGGAGGAGGGAGTATGAATGGGATGTGGCAGCCCAGCCCTGTGGTGGAGGCTGAGCACCTCTGGGAGGAGTGAAGGTGAAGTTTCCCTCTGTCTTGATGGTGGCTCTTGCTTTGTGACCTTGGTCAAGGGACTGTGCCTCTTTTTTTTTTAGACGAAGTCTCGCTCTGTCGCCCAGGCTGGAGTGCAGTCGCGCGATCTCGGCTCACTGCACGCTCCACCTCCCGGGTTTATGCCATTCTCCTGCCTCAGCCTCCAGAGTAGCTGGGACTACAGGCGCCCGCCACCATGCTCGGCCAATTTCTTGTATTTTTAGTAGACAGGGTTTCACCGTGTTAGCCAGGATGGTCTTGATCTCCTGACCTTGTAATCTGCCTGCCTCGGCCTCCCAAAGTACTGGGATTACAGGCGTGAGCCACCGCGCCCAGCCGGGATTGTGCCTCTCTAATTCTCAGTTTCTTCATCTGCAGAAGGGGAAGAATAATGCACCCTTCTGAAACCTGTGAGGGTTTCTCCGGCCCTTGCCAGTAAAGGCCTGAGATTGGGGCCTGTCCTGTCCTGTCCTTGCTCTTAGAAAATGTGAGCCACAGGCCGGGTGCAGTGGTTCACGCCTGTAATCCCAACACTTTAGGAGGCCAAAGCAGGAGGATTGCTTGGCCAGAGTTTGAGACCAGCCTGGGCGACAGAGTGGGACTCCGTCTCAATATATATATATATATATATATATATATTTTTTTTTTTTCTTTTTCTTTTTCTTTTTTTTTTTTTTAGAGACAGAGTCTCACTCTGTCGCCCAGGCTGGAGTGCAGTGGCGCGATCTCAGCTCACTGCAACCTTTGCCTCCCAGGTTGAAGCAATTCTTCTGCCTCAGCCTCCCAAGTAACTGGGACTACAGGCACACACCTCCACGCCCGGCTAATTTTTTTGTATTTTAGTAGAGATGGGGTTTCATCGTGTTGCCCAGGCTGGTCTCGAACTCTTGGGCTCAGGCAGTCTCCCTGCTTCGACCTCCCAAAGTGCTAGGAATACACACGTGAGCCACCGCGCCTGACCAAAAAGTTTATTTTAAATAGCTAGGCATGGTGGCGCGTGTCTGTAGTCCCAGCTATTTAGGAGGCTGAGGTCGGCAAATCACCTGAGCCCAGGAGGTCAAGGCTGCAGTGAGCTGTGATCACACCACTGCACTCCAGCTTGGGTGACAGACCCTGTCTCAAAAAAGAAAATATAAGCCATTGTTAATTTCAGGCTCAGAAGTGTTTGTCACCAAGGTTGCAAGCTAGTCCTCAGTACTATTCTGTATGGAGAGACTTCATGAGAAAATTAGTATATATATATTTTTTCCTCTCAAGGTGTCATAGGTAGACAGCTCCTTCAGCCACACCATTCTTTCCAAGTCGCATGCCGCTCCCCTGGTTAGTGTTACCTGACAGGAGACCTGACTCACCTTACATGTTCATTCCCTTCTTACCTGAGGAATTTGGGGCACTCCCAGTGGCCCTTAGGCAGTGCTTTTCCCCTGTGAGCATATTGCCTGGAGGGCTAGGGGGTTGGGGGAATGCAGGAATTAAAAAGACCCAGTAGAGGCTGGTTTATGCCTGTAATCCCAGCACTTTGGGAGGCTAAGGGAGGAGGATGACTGGAATCCCTCTACGCAAAAGTAAAAATTAGCTCAGGTTGGGCATGGCGGTCCATGCATGTAATTCCAACAGTGGGAGGCTGCAGCAGGAGGATTGCTGAAAGCCAGGAGTTCGAGACCAGGTCAACAAAGCGAGACCCTGTTCCTATAAAAGTTTTAAAATTAACTGGGCCTGGCCAGGCACAGTGGCTCACGCCTGTAATCCCAACACTGGGAAGCCAAGGCAGATGGATTGCTTGACCTCAGGAGTTCGAGGCGAGTCTGGGCAACATGGTGAAACCCTGTCTCTACAAAAAACTACAAAAGAAAATAGCCAGGCATGGTGGTACACACATGTAATCCCAGCTACTCTGGAGGCTAAGGTGGGAGGATCACTTGAGCCTGGGAGGCAGAGGTTGCAGTGAGCCAAGATGGCGTCACTGCACTCCAGCCTGGGTAACAGAGTGAGACCCTGTCTCAAAAATAAGTAAGTTGGCCAGGCGCGGTGGCTCACGCCTGTAATCCCAGCACTTTGGGAGGCCGAAGTGGGCAGATCACGAGGTCAGGAGATCGAGACCATCCTAGCTAACACGGTGAAACCCCGTCTCTACTAAAACTACAAAAAAATTAGGCAGGCGCCTGTAGTCCCAGCTACTCTGGAGGCTGAGGCAGGAGAATGGCATGAACCCGGGAGGCGGAGCTTGCAGTGAGCTGAGATCGCACCACTGCACTCCAGCCTGGGCGACAGAGCTAGACTCCGTCTCAAAAAAATAAATTAAAAAAAAAAAGTAAGTAAGTAAAAATTAGCCAGGCACAGTGGTATGTGCCTGTAGTCCTGGCTACCCAGGAGTTTGAGGCTGCAATGAGCTATGATTGCACCACTGCACACCAGCCCAGGTGACAGCAAGACCCTGTCTCCAAAAAAGGAAAAGAAATGCCCTAATAGATGTTCATTACTTAGAGTAGACTGGCAGCTGCCCCTTGGTGATTTATTGATGGATGCTGGTGTGCATAAGCGTTGCCTTGGAGAGGGCAGCTGTGGTACCCAAGCTGCCAGCCGGCCTGACCTCCCTGTGTGCACTCACAGCCAGCATTCCTCAGAGGGCCCTGCCTGTGGGAGCAGACACCCCTTGCCCTGGGGCCCAGACCTCAGCAGGGCCCCAGTAGCCAGGGAGTGCCTAAATCCTGGGGACTGAACAAAAGTGTGCCTCTGCAGCTCACTGGGATAAAAAGGACTGGGAGGCCTGGCACAGTGGCTCATGCCTGTAATCCCAGCACTTTGGGAGGCCGAGGTAGGCAGATCACCTGAGGTCAGGAGTTTGAGAACAGCCTGACCAACATGGTGAAACCCCGTCTCTACTAAAAATACAAAATTAGCCGGGCGTGGTGGCGGGCGCCTGTATTCCCAGCTACTTGGGAGGGTGAGGCAGGAGAATCGCTTGAACCCGGGAGGCAGAAGTTGCAGTGACCCGAGATCGCGCCATTGCACTCCAGCCTGGGCAACAAGAGCGAAACTGCCTCAAAAAAATAATAATAAAAAGGACTGGGATGCCTCTACCACCCATGAACTTGGGCACATTAGCAAAAGGCACCCCTTCTGGGTGGGGACAACTCCCAGTTACCCACTTGGCAGGTGCCCTTATGCAGGATACAACCTGCACAATTGGCCATGGCTGCTCTGCAAGGGAAGAGGAAATGACCTTTTTCCCCTCCTCTGGGAGCCACATCTCATCCTGCCTCACTGGGCTGCTTTCACTATCAGAGGGTCATTCATACTCCGAACAGCTAGGAGGTGGCTCTGGAGAAAAACTGCCTGAGTTCACTCCCCAGCCCAGCCGCCTCAGGGTATGTGAGTTGTCTTCTCTGTACCTGTTTTACAGCTGGGGAAAGTAGTAATTGTACCCACGTCAGTAGTTAATGCCTGCAAAGAGTTTAGAACAGCTTGGTGGGTGCAGTGGCTCACGCCTGTAATCTCAGCACTTTGGAGGCCAAGGCGCGTGGATCATCTGAGGCCAGGAGTTCGAGACCAGCCTGGCCAACGTGGTGAAACCCCACCTCTACTAAAAATACAAAAATTAGCTGGGCTTGGTGGCGGGTGCCTGTAATCCCAGCTACTCAGGAGGCTGAGGCAGGAGAATAGCTTGAACCAGGGAGGTGGAGGTTGCAGTGAGCTGAGATCACGCCATTGCACTTCAGCCTGGACGACAGAGTGAGACCTTGTCTCAAAAAAATAAGCTGGGCGTGGTGTCTCACTCCTATAATCCCAGCACTTTGGGAGGCTGAAGTGGGCGGATCATGAGGTCAGGAGTTCAAGACCAGCCTGTCCAATATAGTGAAACCCCATCTCTACTAAAAAACACAAAAATTAGCTGTGTGTGGTGGCGCATGCCTGTAGTCTCAGCTATTCGGGAGGCTGAGACAAGAGAATCGCTTGAACCCGGGAGGCAGAGGTTGCAGTGAGCCAAGATCATGCCATTGCACTCCAGCCTGGGCAACAGAGTGAGACTCCGTCTCAAAAACTAATAATAAATAAATAAATAATAAATTAAAAAATAGCCGGGGCGCAGTGGCTCATGCCCGTAATCCCAGCACTTTGGGAGGCCGAGGCGGATGGATCAACTGAGGTCAGGAGTTCAAGATCAGCCTAACCAACATGGAGAAACCCCGTCTCTACTAAAAATACAAAATTAACCAGGCGTGGTGGCGCACGCCTGTAATCCCAGCTACTCGGGAGGCTGAGGCAGGAGAATCACTTGAGCCTGGGAGGTGGAGGTTGGGGTGAGCCGAGATCGCGCCATTGCACTCCAGCCTGGGCAACAAGAGCGAAACTCTGTCTTAAAAAAAAAAAAAATAGCCAGGCCTGGTGGCGCGTGCCTGTAATCCCAGCTACTCAGGACACTTGAGGTGGGAGAATTGCTTGAACCCGGGAGGTGGAGGTTGCAGTGAGCCAAGATTGTGCCACTGCACTCCAGCCTGGGTGACAGAGCGAGACTCCATCTCAAAATAAATAAATAAATAAATAAAAATAAAAGAAACTCAAATTGGTTCTGTCTCCAAATTCCATCCTGGTGGGTGCTTGTCATGCTCACTTGGGGTTCAGGGCTGCTGCTCCAGCTGCTTCCTGAGACATCTCTAGACATTGCAGTATTTGTTCATGTCCCCGCCCTGTGAGGACACACCCTCTCTAGTTGCCTTCCCTGAAGTAGTGTTAACAATGGGATACAGCATTTAATAAATTCTGACTGAGGTCTCACGGGTTCAATGGTAAACCTAAAAACGCCTGTAGGGCCCACTGGCCATACCCCTTCTCTCAGAGCCCCTCCTGGTCCCTTGGACATCAATAGACACATCAGCTATTATTACTACACTGCCCATAGATGGCTGCCAGGAAGTAGCCTCAAGGCTGACAATTAAAGGGAGGCTTTAATTTAAACTTCAATGGCTGGGGCTGTCGCCTCCATCTGGGAGCACTTGGTCTGGACGGTTTCTCAGAGTCCACCAGGAGCTGCAGCGAGGGGCAGATGGCCCATCCCCTGAGGAGTTTTTCCCCCAGGCCAGACCATGCATAAGAGTCCTGAGCTAGTTCTTCAAGTCAGGCTGGAGGAGACCGCCCTGCCCTGCCCCACTCCAGCCCAGCTCTGGAAACAGCCAACACGCCTGGGGGTCTTTGGCCAGGTCCTGGCATCTCCTAGGACATCGGGCTGCTGCCTGGGCCTCGTCCCCTTCCTCTGCTGTCACTGGATCCATCCCTTCGCGTTCCTTTGGCAGAGGCAGAGAAGCAGAGAAGGATCCTTGCAACTCCCATAGCTGGAGAAACCATAAACCATGGTGGTTGGTTTTTTTTTTTTTTTTTTTTTTTTTTGAGACAGAGTCTCCCTCTGTTGCCCAGGCTGGAGTGCAGTGGTGCGATCTCAGCTCACCGCAACTTCTGCCCCCTGGGTTCAAGTGATTCTCCTGCCTCAGCCTCCTGAGTAGCTGGGACTACAGGCGCGTGACACCACACCCAGCTAATTTTTTGTATTTTTAGTAGAAACGGGGTTTTACCATGTTAGCCAGGATGGTCTCGATCTCCTGACCTTGTGATCCGCCTGCCTCGGCCTCCGGAAGTGCTGAGATTACAGGCGTGAGCCACCGCACCTGGCAATATTTTATTTTATTTATATTTTTGAGACAGGTTCTCACTTTGTCACCCAGGCTGAAGTGCAGTGGTGCGATCTCAGCTCACTGCAACCTCGACCTCCTGGGCTCAAGTGATCCTCCTGCCTCAGCCCTCCAGGTAGCTGGGACCACTGGCATGCAACACCACACTTGGCTAATCTTTTGTATTTTTTGTAGAGACAGGGTTTCACCATGTTTGCCAGGCTGGCCTTGAACATCCCATGCCCGATGGGATGATATTTTAAATCAGGTGATCCGGGAAAGTCTCACTGAGGATGTGGTATTTCCACAGAGACCTATAGGAAATGGGGCTGTGAGCCCTAGGGACTCAGTGTCTGGGGAAAGTGTTCCTGGGAGTCGTGACTCCACCTCACAAGTACAAAGGCCTCATCAGAGGCTGAGTTTGGCACCTGGTGTGCTTGAGGGACAGCAAGGTGGGGGGTACTCGAAGGCTTTTTTTTTTTTTGAGACAGTCTTGCTCTGTCACCCAGGCTGGAGTGCAGTGCCGTGATCTCAGCTCATTGTAACCTCCACCTCCCAGGTTCAAGCAATTCTCCTGCCTCAGCCACCCGAGTAGTTGGGATTATAGGCGTGCACCTCCACACCCGGCTAATTTTTGTATTTTTAGTAAAGACGGGATTTCATTATGTCGTCCAGGCTGTTCTCAAACTCCTGGTGTCAAGTGATCTGCCCGCCTCAGCCTCCCAAAGTGCTGGGATTACAGGTGTGAGCCACCATGCTAGCTGACTCTAAACTGTTTCATAAACTAGGTTGAGGCAGGGCTTGGGTGGCTCACACATAATCCCAGCCTGTAATCCCAGCATTCCCTGAGGTAGGAGGATCACTTGAGGCCAGGAGTTCCAGGCCAGCCTAAGCAACCTAGCGAGACCACCCCCACACACTCCCCTCACCCCCACCACTTGTCTCTACAAAAAATTTAGCAATTGCCGGGCACAGTGGCTCACGCCTGTAATCCCAGCACTTTAGGAGGCCGAGGTGGGCGGATCACAAAGTCAGGAGATCAAGACCATCCTGGCTAATACGGTGAAACCCCGTCTCTACTAAATATACAAAAAATTAGCTGGGCATGGTGGCAGGTGCCTGTAGTCCCAGCTACTTGGGAGGCTGAGGCATGAGAATGGCGTGAACCAGGGAGGCGGAGCTTGCAGTGAGCCAAGACCGTGCCACTGCACTCCAGCCTGGGCGACAGAGTGAGACTCCGTCTCAAAAAAAAATAGAAATTAGCCAGGCGTGGTGGGGTGCACCTGCAGTCCCAGCTACTTGGGAGGCTAAAGCAGGAGGATCATTTGGGCCCAGGAATTTGAGGCTGCAGTGAACTGGAACGGTGTCACTGTACTTCAGCCTGGTGACATAGCGAGTTGCTGTGTCAAACACCATCACCACCACCAGCACCAAGAACAATATCAACAAAACTTGGCTGAGCTGGATGTGGTGGTACGTGTTCACAGTCGCAGCTACTCAGAAGGCTGAGGTAGGAGAATCAAGAGTCTGAGCTCAACTTGGGCAAAATATTGAGAACCCTGTCTCCAAAAACAAAAAACTAAAACACTGGGCTGGCCGGGTAGAGTGGCTCATGCCCGTAATCCCTGCACTTTGGGAGGCTGAGGCAGGCAGATCACCTGAGCTCAGGAGTTCAAGACCAGCCTGGCCAACATGGCAAAACCCCTCTTTACTAAAAATATAAAAATTAGCCGGGCATGGTGGCATATGCCTGTAATCCCAGCTACTCTGGAGGCTGAGACAGGAGAATCGCTTGAACTCGGGATGCGGAGGTTGCAGTGAGCCGAGATCATGCCACTACACTCTGGTCTGGGTGACAGGGCGAGACTCCACCTCCAATAAAAAAAAAAAAAGGAAAAAAACACTGGGCTGGGCTGGGCTGGGCTGGGCAAGGCAGGGCAGGGCAGACTCCTCTGCAGCCTTTCTTCCTTTCCTTGACTTTGACTGTTACCCTGAGCGTGGAGCCACAGGAAGGTTTGAACAGAGGAGGGAGGAATGTGATCTGACTCAGTCATTCATTCACAGGCTCCCTCCAGCTTCTCCTGGGAAAGAGAAGGGGGTGGGAGGGGGAGCTGGGAGACAGTGGGGAACTGCTGCAATGGCCCAAGGGAAGGCGAGGCGAGGGTAGACAGAACCTGGGTGGCGCAGTGGGGCAGGGGGAAGTGGGTGGGTTCTGTGTATTCTTTCAAGATGGAATGACAGAATTTCCTGAAGAACTGGATGGGGTTGTGAAGACAAAGAGGCATTAAGGATGACCGCAAGGTCTGTAGCCTCAGCAACTGCAAGGCTGGAGGTGCACGAATTGAAGAGGGATGACTGTGGGATGGGATGACCAAGCTTGGGGGGAAGATCAGGAACTCTATTTTGGATATTTATTATTATTATTATTTGAGATGGAGTTTCGCTCTTGTTGCCCAAGCTGGAGTACAATGGTGCAATCTTGGCTCACCACAACCTCCGTCTCCCAGGTTCAAGCTATTCTCCTACCTCAGCCTCCTGAGTAGCTGGGATTACAGGCATGTGCCACTATGCCTGGCTAATTTTGTATTTTTAGTAGAGACGGAGTCGTTGGCCCGGCTGGTCTTGAACTCCTGACCTGGGGTGATCCGCCCACTTCGGCCCCCCAAAGTGCTGGGATTACAGGCGTGAGCCACCACACCTGGCCGGATATTTATTTATTTATTTTTATTTTTATTTTAGACGGAGTCTTGCTCTGTCGCCCAGGCTGGAGTACAGTGGCGCGATCTCGGCTTACTGCAGCCTCTGCCTCCCGAGTTCCAGTGATTCCCCTACCTCAGCCCCCTGGGTAGCTGGGATTACAGGTGCATGCCACCAAGCCCGGCTAATTTTTGTATTTTTAGTAGAGACGGGGTTTCACCATGTTGGCCAGGCTGGCCTCTAACTCCTGACCTCGTGATCTGCCTGCCTCGGCCTCCCAAAGTGCTGGGATTACAGGCATGAGCCACTGCGCCCGGCCATTTATTTTTAATGTAAACATTTTTTTGTAGAGATGAGATCTTGTTATGTTACCCAGTCTGGCCTCAAACTCTTGGGCTCAAGCACTCTTCCAGCCTTGACTCCCCAGAGTGCTGGGATTGCAAGAGTAAGCCACCAGTGCCTGGCTGAATATTTAAATTTAAGATGCTTCCTGATGCAGTGGCTCGCACCTTTGTTTAAATGTCTGCCTTCTCCATGAAGCCTACCTGAGTAGTTTATTTGCATTCCAGCCCATGCTTGATTTTTCTCCAAATACTCAACACCTTGGAATATACAATACTACCTATTTTTTACTTTTATGTATATTTTTGAGACAGGATTTCGCTTCTGGAGTGCATTGGTGTGATCACAGCTCACTGCAGACTGGAACTCCTGGGCTCAAGTGATGTCCCTTCCTCAGCCTCCTGAGTAGCTGGGACTACAGGTGCACACAGCCATGCCCAGTGAATTTTTACATTTCTTGTAGAGACAGGTTCTTGTTATGTTGCCTAGGCTGGCCTTGAACTCTTGGGCTCAAGCCATCCTCCCGCCTCAGCTTCCCAAAGTGCTGGGATTACAGGTGTGAGCCCCTGTGCCTGTCTACATATTTTTTAAAATTTTGAGTGTTGAGGCCAGGCGCAGTGGCTCATGCCTGTAAGCCCAGCACTTTGGGAGGCCGAGGTGGGCGGATCACCTGAGGTCGGGAGTTTGAGACCAGCCTGACCAACATGGAGAAACCCCGTCTCTACTAAAAATACAAAATTAGCCAGGAGTGGTGGCACATGCCTGTGATCCCAGCTACTCGGGAGGCTGAGGCAGGAGAATAGCTTGAACCTGGGAGGCGGAGGTTGCAGTGAGCCCAGATCACGCCATTGCACTCCAGCCTGGGCAACAAGAGCGAAACTCCGTCTCAAAAAAAAAAATTTGTGTGTTGGTTGGGCGCGGTGGCTCACGCCTGTAATTCCAGCACTTTGGGAGGCTGAGGCGGGAGGATCGCTTGAGCTCAAGAGTTCAAGACCAGCCTGGCCAACATGGTGAAACCCCGTCTCTACTAAAAAAATACAAAAATTAGCCGGGTGTGGTGGAGCATGCCTGTGTTCCCAGCTACTCGGGAGGCTGAGGCAGGAGAATTGCTTGAATCCGGGAGGCGGAGGTTGCAGTGAGCCGAGATCGCGCCACTGCACTCCAGCCTGGGAGACAGAGCGAGACTCCGTCTCAAAAAATAATAAAAATAAAAGTAGATTTGTGTGTATGTGGCTTCCTTTACTAGAAGGTAGTTTCATGAAAGTTGGGATTTTTTTCTGTTTTTAGTGCCTGCGTAAAACATAGTCTGGCACAGAATAGGTGTTCAATAAATATTTGTTGAATTTGTGTCGCTGAATGGGAACCCGGTGCAGTGCATTCCAAGCCTGAGCTGGTTCAGGTCCGATGGCGGGGCCTGCCCTTATGAATCATTCATGATCTGGCCCCGCCCATACGCGAACGACGCGCGCGTTCACGCCGGAGAGGGGGCGCGGCTCGCCCCCGGGCTGAGTCGGGCGGCCAGGAAGCGGGACTCTGCGCAGGCGCCAAGCTCCGGAGCGCGGCCTTGGTGCCTTTTCTGGTTTGGCAGGCGCGCGCGCGCGGGAGGGCGGCAACCTCGGCGCTGTGCGCAGGCGCGGCGGGCAGTGCGCAGGCGCGGGCGGAGGGCGGGCTGAAGCAGCTGAAGCGGCGGTAGCGGCGGCGGCTCGGGCAGAGGGGCGGGAGCTGAGGCGGGAGCGGACAGGCTGGTGGGCGAGCGAGAGGCGGCGGAATGGTGGACTACCACGCGGCGAACCAGTCGTACCAGTACGGCCCCAGCAGCGCGGGCAATGGCGCTGGCGGCGGGGGCAGCATGGGCGACTACATGGCCCAGGAGGACGACTGGGACCGGGACCTGCTGCTGGACCCGGCCTGGGAGAAGCAGCAGCGCAAGGTGCGCGGCCCGCGGGCCGGACGGGCTGGAGGGGCTTTTCTGAGGGGGCCCGGGGAGGGGTGGGAGGTCCTGAAAGGTAACTGGAGCGTCTGTGATGGGAACGGGGGGGTCCCGAGAAGGAATTGGCGGGTCCGGGAAGGGAATTGGAGTCCTGAGGAGGAATCGCCGAGCTAGAGGAAGGAATTGGGAATCTGAAAAGAGAATTGGCGGCTGGGTGGGGAATATGGGAGTCAAATAAAAGGAATCGGGAAGGCTGATGAAGGATTTGGAGGGTCTGGGCGTGCCATTAGGGGAAACCGAGGAGATGACTGGGCAGGCTGAAATGGAACTGGGATCCGAGGCGGGCTTGAAGGGTCGGAGCATGGGTTGGGGGTGCTGGGAGGAGAATCAGGGGAGGCTGAGAAGGGAATTTCTGGGTCTGGGAAGTGTGAGGAGGAGCTTGAGTGTGGAGGGGTTGGTTATTTGGAGAGCAGAAAGATCTGAAGGAGATTGGAATTGGGGGAGCCTCAGGTTGGGGGAGTTATAAAGGGGATGAAGAATCAAGTGTGAGGATGGAGTGGAGATTGTGGGGTCTGAAGACGGGTGGGAAGACTAGGGAGGCTGGGAAGATGAAAACAGGGGCTAAGGGTAGAATTGAGCATGAAAAGACATGGGCTTAGGGTGTGAGGAGGGTAGAGGTGCCAGGACTGGGGGTCTGAGGAGGGTGGGGTGCGGAAGGAAGAAGTTAAGGGGCCCGTGAATCAGACGTTTTTGAAGGGGGTGAGATTTATTTGTGGTGCCCTGTTCCAAAGGGGAGAAGATTAAGAGATAGGAGGAATAATAAGAGGAATTGATGAGGGATGGAGAAGCCGAAGTAGAGGGGATACGGAGAGTGGGGATAATTTGGGGAGGGATTTCTAAAGAATTGATGGGAAGCTGAAAAGCTAAAGCGTTGGAGAGAATGAGGAAGTGTAGAGGGAGAAGGTGAGATCGGTGGGAGGGAGGGTGAGCTGGAATGGTGGATAATGGGAGAGAGGTTCGTTTAGGAAAATGAAAGTCTCATTAGAAAGGGAATGCGTAATGGATAGACTGAGAAAGGAATTTGAGGAGGGGGTGCTGGCTCCTGGAGGTGCAGTCCCGGGACTGGAGAGCGTGTGTGTGTCGTGCAGGCAGAATGAGTTTGGGGAGGAAGCGTTGAGAGTGTCCAGGAAGAATTGTGTCTTTTTTGGAGAGACCGGAGGTAGGTGAAGGGATCCTGAAGCAGAGACTGTGTTCAGGTGGCACTGTTTTTTTGGGGGGCGGGGGGGGCAACTTGGTAGGGCCCCACAGCAGTGAAAAGGTGATCAGAAGTGGAGTGGGATCCCCGAGCGAGGTGTCAGTGTCTGTGGGGGGGGGATAAATCCAGTGTGGTTGAGGGGGGAGCTCTGAGTGTGTGCAGGAAGAGCTAAAGAAAGGAGCGTGGTGAGTGGGTGTGTGTGGGGGGAAGGGGTTGTTCAGAAGTTTTGTGCGTGAAATGGGTGGGAGGTACTTGAAGTTGGAAGCATTTCGTGGGATCTGGAGATCTGGATTTTCTTTCCAGATTTGTTACTGATTCGCTCTGTGGCCTTGGACAAGACCCTTGAACTCTCCGGGCAGTTTTGTTATCTGCAAAATGCAAAGGGATCCGAGGGTTCCCTGCGGTGATTCTGTTAATAAAGAGGGATGTGTGTAGAGTTGGGACTTTGGACAGGGCTCTGAAGGTTTGGGAGAGTGAGTTTGGTGGAGATTTTTCAGGAACAGGCTACAGGGCTTTGAGTGGTGACCTGGCAGAGTGGGGAGTGACTGGAAGCCTCTCGAGGGCGCGAGTTGGTGGCCAGGAGCTTGGCACAGGCAGCCTAGCCCAGGCTGGAGGGGAAAGGGTGGGAAGGGTGGAAGGAGCAGCTGTTCCAAGGCAGCCTGAGGTGGGGCCGGGCATAACCTTGGGTCCATTACCAGCGTTGCTTGAATTTCCTCATCCGTAGTAACTGAGGGGCATGGCAGTGGCTTGGTGGGAGGGGTGTCCTTATCCGTGGCCCCACCTACTGCAGGATGGACAGGTTGCGATAGTTGGCATAAATTCACTTTTTGAGGGGAAGGTGAGATCTGTTCTGGAGTCTCAACAATAATTTATTGCCTGAGGCAGTGCCAGGTTGGAAAAGGTTGCCAAGAGACCTGGAAAGTTGGGAGGGAGCAGGGGCCACAGTGGTGGTTTTGAGAATGTCTAGGCTTTGTCTTCTGCAGCTGAAGGTGCTGGAGAAAATAAACCCCTCCCCCTTTTTTCTCAGGTGATAAGGGTGGGGGGACCTTCCTTTTCTCTCCCTTCCTGTCTTCTGCCACTCCTCAAGTGACTCCTTTTGCGAGCCGGGTTTCACTCCCTCCCGAGAGTTAGGGTGTGGGCTTTGTTCGTGGTTATAGTGTCCCTTGCCTACAGGGTGAGGCTGGGGCACCATTCAGGCCCTGGGTGGAAACCAGGACTCCCCAGAACCTCCAGGCCTTGCTGCCATGTGTCATTCTCTTACCTCCCAGCTCCCTTCCTCTGGGGCCGGGCAGGTTTGAGGGAAAAGGGTGGCTCACAGAGTCCGCTAATACCATCTGCTTTCGTGTCTCAGCCAGAGCCAGATTCTAGTACCTCCTGCTTTACACCTCCTCCAGCAAATATTTACCCTTAGCTGCTCTGTGGGGGAAACTACTGCTTCACCTCTGTGCCCTTTCCTGTTATGGGGTAGGGATTCTTTTTGAAATGGGGGAAGGAGTAATGGAAAGGAATACACCAATCTGTGTGGCTCTCTACCTTCCTACTAAGAAACATCCCTGCACTCCCAGGCTGGCTGGGTTGTTTGTTTGTTTGTTTGTTTGTTTTTGGAGACGGAGTTTTGCTCTTGTTGCCCGGGCGTGATCTTGGCTCACCGCAACCTCCGTCTCCCGGGTTCAAGCGATTCTCCTGCCTCAGCCTCCCGAGTAGCTGGGAATACGGGCATGCGCCACCACGCCTGGCTTTTTGTATTTTTAGTAGAGACGGGGTTTCTCCATGTTGGTCGGGCTGGTCTCAAACTCCCGACCCCAGGAGATCCGCCCGCCTCGGTCTCCCAAAGTGCTGGGATTACAGGAGTGAGCCACTGCACCCAGACTGGCTGGGTTTTTTCTACATTGCAGTGTTGCTTTAGTGAATGACAGATTGCCCTTCTTGCCTCTCCAAGGCTGAGCCACTGGGCACGGGAAGAATGACAGTCCTGGGGGTTCTGTACATGCATACTCCAAAAAAATATGCATCCAGAACAGCTGTAGGCCCTCAAAGTGGGTAGAATTGAATTCTTCTAGGAATTAAGCAAGAGTTGGCCCAAATCAGAGGGGACGTGTGTCTCACTTCTGCTTGGAAGCCCTTTGCTCTGACTTCTAGGGACCCCTGTAACCCGTAAGTAGGTTATGCAACGGTTTTTACATGAGAGGGCCATGAGTGTTCTCCTGGCGGGATGGAGAAGCATTGTTCTGGTCTTTGAGCAAATTCTTGAGCAATTACAGTTCTGGGCCACAGTTCCCTCTCCCAATTTCTAAAAGTGGCCTGGGTAACCTCATCACCCTCTGTTGTCCTGGAAGGGTGAGATCTCTTGAAGGTTATGCCAAATCTCATTACAGCAAGAAGAAATGACTCACTTGCTAAGTTTTCGTGTTCATTGAAACATCACTATTTCAGGGGCCTCAATGTTTCAACCCTGACCGTTGGCTTTTTTTTTGGAGACGGAGTTTTGCTCTTGTTGCCCATGTGGCTGTATTAGGTATGAGTTAACTATTTGAAAGTTTTTGTTTGTTTTTTGTATTTGTTTTTTTTGTTTTGTTTTGTTTTGTTTTTTTTGAGACAGAGCCTCACTCTGTCACCAGGCTGGAGTGCAGTGGTGTGATCTTGGCTCACCACAACCTCTTCCAGGTTCAAGGAATTCTCCTGCCTCAGCCTCCTGAGTAGCTGGGACTACAGGCGTGTGCTACCGTGCCTGGCTAATTTTTGTGTTTTTAGTAGAGACAGAGAGTTTCACCATGTTGGCCAGGCTGGTCTGAAACTCCTGACCCCAAGTGATCCGCCTGCCTCGGCCTCCCAAAGTGCTGGGATTACAGGCGTGAGCCACTGTGCCCTGCCTTGTTTTTCTTGAAGTAGATCTTTTTTTCTTTTTAAAGGCTGATAATGGAGGCCCCAAAGTAGCCATCTGTTACTTTGTTCCATTACTCTAATTGCTTGCCTCTTAGGATCTGGCTAGGACTAACAGTTTTCAAAATTGAGTAACACACTTGACAAAAAAAAAGGAACCAAACTCAAACTCAACTGTTATCTAGAAAAAAGACTGTGTAAATATGTGTGAGAGGCAAGTATACTCTGTTTGCCCTCTTGTAAGAGGGATAGGGGAGGCCACTCAGCTGCTAGCACTCTGTTCTCTCCCCTCATCCTCTCCAGAATGTATTTTAGAACTTGACTCTTCTAATGACTGAAGAAAAGGTGGGGTATGGGAAGATGGCCTGGGACTGCAGGGTCACTTACACTCACCTGGCTAAGAGTTGAGATCTGGCTGGTGCCCTGGAGTGGCACCTGCCACTCACCTAATCCTAAACAATCCAGGGTGTGGGCCCAGGATTGCCCTCTGCCTTTTGAAACACCCTCCCTGGTTCCGGCTTCTAAGACCAACAGGGAGGCTACTTTGGTGGCAGGGAGCTGACTCACCCTCCAGTTGGAACTGGTGCTAAAAGCCTCCATTTAACGGCAGCCGACTGCTTGGCCCCAAGTGGGCTGCCTTGTGGGGGGGAAAGTTCAGTGGAAAGTGTTGGAGGAAGCAGGGTGGTGTGTGAATATCCAAGTAGTGCTGGTGCTATTAAGCTCTGACACAGTCAGGGAGGTCAGTTAAAATGTGGTCTTATGGCCGGGCGCAGTGGCTCGCGCCTGTAATCCCAGCACTTTGGGAGGCTGAGGTGGGCAGATCACCTGAGGTCAGGAGTTCGAGACCAGCCTGGCCAACATGGTGAAACCCCGTCTCTACCAATAATACAAAAATTAACTGGGCATGGTGGCAGGTGCCTGTAATCCCAGCTACTTGGGAGGCTGAGGCAGGAGAATCGCTTGAACCTGAGAGGTGGAGGTTGCAGTGAGCCAAGATCGCGCTACTGCACTCCAGCCTGAGTGACAGAACAAGACTCCATCTCAAAAAAAAAAAAAAAAATCAGATGACAGAGGGGAGCGGGGACAAGTTTTAAGTCTAAGCCTCCTGGGTGGGGAGTTCTGCTGTTTCAACATATGCTCCAGTCATGGCAGACTTTGGCCAGACAGCGCCCTTTTTCAGAGTGAACTGAGTGTAGCACAAGTTATCTGCCAGTGCTAGTTAGCAAACAGAATGGAGCCAAAAAAGAATTGATTTGGGAAGGCCCAAGGAATTTGAAACCGTTGAGATGAACACTTTCCGTTTTTGCTACACTGATTTATGTTGTGCTGGGAATTGTACAAGCCTTTGACCAGACCTTAGGGTTGTTCTTTAAAAAAAAAAAAAAAAGATTCCCTTGCTGCTGCTTTTACTTTTTTGAAGGGCAGAAGGGAAGGGCAAATATAATTAGTGAACAGCTGTTTGCTCTAGTATCACTTGCTCGTTCAGGTTTTCTGAATAGCTGAAATATCAACATGTTTATCTCTTCCCTTGCCTTAGTATATCCTAGAGCAGTGTTTTCCCCGGCTTTATCTTTATTCCTTCATTTAATGAACTCCGTGTTTTCATCACTCACATTTTGTTCCCTTCCCTCAGTTTCCTTCCTTTGCCTTCATTTATGTATTTAGTTTACAGAATAACAAAAGCACTCGTGTTACTTTTAAACAAGGTAAAACTTAAACAGTTTTTTCCTCCGTTTCTTTTTTTATGGAAATAAGAGGCAAGTGATAGCAAGTGGGTAATTCAATGGCAGTGGTAACTGAAGCACTGACCTGTTACAAGAGAGACGGAAGCTTCTACTTGAGCAGATACAAATACTGTCATCCGTGGAGATTTGAAAGAAGTCTTTCTATCACTGGGTAGTTTGAGAGCTCATTAGTCTTCTTTAGAATGGGTTTAAACTTGGAAACATCAAAGCAAGTTACAAGGAAACTTAGTTTTACAGTGTTGGCAGCCTAGGCGCCAGAATTTGTTATAAAGTGTCTGAAAGTGGCCCAGGTATCACTTAACTTTTCTTCAAGAAGGTCTATGAGTTACATTTTACTCGGTATCCCAGGCATCAAGGAGTGTAACTTTCAATGAATCAAAGAGAAACAGAATCATTTTAAATTCCAGCCTCTGTTTAAAGAAGGATCTTATGAAGGGGAGAAATTAACCACCTGACCCAGGGAAGGATCCCGCCTCCTCCAGAAAGTGAAATCGCCGGGTGTGGTGGCTCACGCCTGTAATCCCAGCACTTTGGGAGGTCGAGGTAGGTGGATCACGTGAGGTCAGGACTTCAAGACCAGCCTGGCGAACATGGTGAAACCCCATCTCTACTAAAATGCAAAAAATTAGCCGGGCACGGTGGTGCACCCCTGTAATCCCAGCTACTGGGGAGGCTGAGGCAGGATAATCACTCAAACCTGGAAGGTGGAGGTTGCAGTCAGCTGAGATCACGCCACTGCACTCCAGCCTGGACGACAGAGTAAGGCTCCGTCTCAAAAAAAAAAAAAAAAGAAAAAGAAAAGGAGTTAAATCTTTGCATATATTTAACTGGCAAGAGCATCCTTACATCAGTGCATGGGAAGTTTTATCCAAGTAGCAGTTTCCCTGGGATTATAAAAATCCCCGAGGCATTTGTCTTGGTGTTGTGCCTTTTTTTGGTTGTGTTTTTTCACGTCCCTCCCCTCCCCTTTCTCCATAAACAAGAGAGGCATTAACTTGGAATGTCCGTGGAAAGTCTTAGAAGCTGATTGGTGTAATTTGCCTGCCTTCCCTTTAGTTTGAACAGCGTTTACTCTGGAAGAGGTCAGTGGCCTTTTTCTTGGTTGTGATTTATGCAAGTGTTATCTGAAGGCGAGTGGAGTGAGTTTACGTGGGATTTGCTGTTTGCCACCTGTTGTTGTGCTGGCTCCTTCCTTCCTGGGATGAGTTCCATTCTCTCCCCCTCCCCCAGGAGTGAGGCTCCCCAGCCAGAGCAGTCCCCCTGTGCTTATCCCCTTCCTTCGTAAACTGCAGCCATTTGTGATTTTCCATAACCACTTTTATAGACACATAATAATTTCCTTTGAATCAGTTTGCATTTTAAATTAAGTTTTGAAAGGAAAACTGACAAGAGTATGGCAACTGGAAAACCCAGCTCCCCTGGCCATAAATATAATAGAAGGAAACTGCAAAAATAAACACATTGAAAACAAAACAGTGTTGTTTCCAGGTGGTTACCACTCGGGCTGAAGGCCCCCCAGGCTTGAGGCCTGCTCCCTTTGTTAGAAAGGGATTGGCAAGTGTTGGTGAGGTGTTAAAGACCCACCAGCACCAAGCAGAGACTTTCTCTTTGAAGTCATCAGGTTTACAAGAGAATCAAAGGAAATAACTTTCTCAATGTGATTCAGGGTGTAATGTAAGGTGTAGATAACCCTTAAAATTTTCCATGTGTGTATGTCACACTTGGGAAAAAAACTTGATCTCATCTGGTCGAGGTGGGCAGGGCAGCACCTTGTCCAGGAGCACACAGCCCCTCTTGGCTCTGTGTGTCATCCGGCCATACTAGACTCGAACATATGGCTCATGACTGGATGATGCTTGATTCATCTTCAGTTTCAAGTGTTAGTGCTTTTGAGGTTTTGTAAGAAACCAGGACACATTGAAAATACAGTCATTTCTCAGTATCTGTGGGGGATTGGTTCCAGGAACCCCCTTATATACCAAAATCCACAGATGCTCAAGTTCCTTATGTAAGATAAAACGATGTGTAATTTGCATTTTAACTATGCACATCCTCCTGAATACTTTAAATCATCTCTAGATTACTTATAACCTAATGCTAAATGCTACGTAAATGGTTGTTACACTGTGCTGTTTAGGAAATAATGACAAAAATATGTACATGTTCAGTGCAGATGCAACCATTCATTTTTTTTCTTCCAGTATTTTCGATCCATTGTTGGTTGAATTCACAGATAGAGAACCCATGGATACAGAGGGCTAGCTGTAAGAAATGTGGGTTTATCATTTGTTCCTCACACAACTTTTTTCTTTCTTCGTTTTTCTTGCCTTTGTTCCTTTTTTTTGAGACAGGGTGTCACTCTTTTTACCAAGGCTGGAGTGCAGTGGAACAATCTTGGCTCACTGAAGCTTTGACCTCGGGCTCAAGCCATCCCCCCACCTCAGCTTCCCAAGTAGCTGGGACTAGAGGTGCACACCACCACGCCTGACTGATTTTTGTGTTTTTGTAGAGATGGGGTTTTGCTGTGTTGCCCAGTCTGGTCTCAGCCTCCCAAAGTCTTGGGATTACAGGTGTGAGTCACCACGCCCAGCCAACTTTTTCTCTTAAGGCTCCAGTTTTCTTCTTAGAGTTGGGCCCCTCCCACGAAGAAAGCACACTGCCACCCCTTCATCGGATTTGAACCCTACATTTTGAAAGGAAAGCAGTGCCCTCCTGCTGAGTTAACAAGGCTTATTTAAATGTTTTTCTTCCAAATATCAGAGCAGAACAGATTCTTTGTCTTCCAGTGGAACTATCCACATGGGGCAGAAGTAGTTGGAAGCGGCAGTTACTACCCTGCAGAACACAATGAAGTCATCTTGGGAAATATCGTGGATGGTGTTGCAATGATTGAATGGGATGCTAGAACACCAGCAATACAATAGCATTTGTGTCTTCAGCTTCAGGCAGGAATAAAGAAGACTTTGTGGTTTGTTTTATGTTTTTTAAAGTTTCCCCCCCAAAGGTGTGGGGCTGAGTGATGTCTGTCACTAGCTTTCTAGTGGGTTTTTCTTTTCATCTTTTCCCCTCCCTGATGTCTTTTGAGAGTGGGTGGAAGCCACAGTCTAGGTGGATCAGAGGAAGCACAGAAGGCAGGCAGTATACCCCACTTTGTGTTTTCCATGTCTGAAGGGAACACATTTGGTTTTTGTTCTGTTTTGATTTTTTAGAGACAGGGTTTCACTGTCACCCAGGCTGGAGTGCAGTGGCCTAATCATAACTCACTGCAGCCTTGAACTCTTGGGCTCAAGGGATCTTTCAGCCTCAGCCTCCCTAGTAGCTGGGATTATGTGTGCACCACCATGGCCAGCTAATTTTAATTTTTTTTTTTTTTGAGATGGAGTCTCACTCTGTCACCCAGGCTGGAGTGCAGTAGCACGATCTCAGCTCACTGCAACCTCTGCCTCCCCGGTTCAAGTGATTCTCCTGCCTCAGCTTCCCAAGTAGCTGGGATTACAGGCGCGCGCCACGACGCCCAGCTAATTTTTGTATTTTTAGTAGAGACAGGGTTTCACCATGTTGGCCAGGCTGGTCTTGAGCTCCTGACCTTAAGCGATCCACCCACCTTGGCCCAACAAAGTGCTGGGGTTACAGGCATGAGCCACTGTGCCCGAACTAATTTTTAAATTTTTTGTAAAGACTGGGTCTCACTATGTTGCCCAGGCTTTTAATCTGCAAAAAGCCCAAGATAAAGAGTTTTAATATCTTACCTCCTGAGTAGTAATGACTGATTCCAGTTCTAATAATGTCTTAATTACAGCTATACAGATTGAGGGGACTGCAGGAAGTGAAATAGATGCATTTCTTTTTTCTTTCTTTCTTTTCCTTTTTTAAATACACACTTCGTTTCGGTGGTGAAGGCCAGTTTGAGGTTAGGAGAGGCATCTTGGAAGGAAGCTCGCAGGTGGTTCGGCATCTGGACATGCTGGGAAGTTGCCTGAGGGGGACGTCACAATAAGAGGACTGTGGGTCTACAGCCTGCCTTAGCAAAATGACAGGCCTTCTTTTACCAAGGCCAAGGGCAGTGGTGGAAGCTGACTTCAGTTGGTGTCATCAAGGCCTCAGTATGTGTAACGGTTAACAAATTACTATTCTATGATCAATCTCCATCTGGGTGTGAGTAAAAGGTATTTAGTTGCTATCACCATGGAAACCAAGTTGCTTACTTACTGTTTTGGGGAGTGCCCTCATACCAGAGGCAGTGCTAATGGTGGAGTGTTAGGCCCCGGGCAGAAAAAAAGATCCTGCCACTTGGTATCACAGGAAAATACCTACAGGCACAGCAGCCTTGCCAGGTAGGGGATGAAGGCCCTCTGTCCTCGGGGCAGGAGTTGGGCCAGTTGATTGTGTTGATGAGGAGTGTGCATTTGTGCATGAGAGAGGGAGAAGAAAAAGGAGAGCACTCCATGAAATCCGCTGCTGGCTTTGTAGCCTAGAAGAGTGCTTTTTTTCTCTAGGAGTTTGGAACTGGAATCTCAGCTATGTGACTTCTTAATAATAGGACAAAATATGCCTGTATCTTTTGCCTACTTCCACAAACACTGATAAATTAAAAAGAACTCTAAATTTCCCACAAATCCCAAGCACAAGTAACTTTTTTTTTAAATCCACATCCTCCCTAATCCAAATCTAACAGCAAATCCTTTTCTCTCTGTCACTCCCTGCTTTTCTTTAAGAAAATGAGTACCTTGCCTTAAACTATATATTGGATGAAAATATTAAACACTTTCACAAAGTGCTTCTTTGGCTGTTACTGGTATGCCTTGCATTTGGAAGGGTCAGAGATTTGAAGACTTCTGTGATCTTCCAGTTCTGGCCTATGAAATACAGTCAGTTTCAAAATTCAAAATGTCTGGAAGAGCCAACTTGCCAGGCCGGTTCAAGGGCAGTCAGATGAATCGACCCTTCTTACAGGCTGTCTACGAACCAGTCATGATTCAGATATTCAAGTCCTGGAAGGTATCCAGACGGTAAACATCACCAGGATTGTGAGGCAGTTACTTTTTTTTTTGGATCGTTTGAGCTACACTGCCAAGACTGTGGTAGGACTTGTCTGTGTAAAACAGAAAGGGCTGTCTCTAAATGTCTTTTTCAAGAATGTCGGCTATAATCACCCGACACTGTGTCTCATGGTGGGGTGAGATGAAATACCTAGACCGGTTAGGGGAGGGCCTTCTTGGCCATTTTTTGAACTAATTTTCCCTTTCCCTTTGTAACTTTTTTTTCTTCTTTTCTTTTCTTTTTTTTTTTTTGAGACGGAGTCTTACTCTGTCACCCAGGCTGGAGTGTAGTGGTGCAATCTCGGCTCATTGCAACCTCCGCATCCTGGGTTCAAGTGATTCTCCTGCCTTAGGCTCCCGAGTAGCTGGGACTACAGGCATGCATTCCACGCCCAGCTAGTTTTGGTATTTTTTAGGAGAGACGGAGTTTCACCATGTTGGCCAGGCTGGTCTTGAACCCTTGACCTCGTAATGCCCACCTAGGCCTCCCAAAGTGCTGGGATTACAGGTATGAGCCACCGCGCCCAGCCCCTTTGTAACTTTCATTAACACTGATGAGGCACAAGCCATAGGATAGAATTGAATCCATTGAGAGCTGTGAGCCAATTGAGGGATGATTGGTTAATAGATTGTGGCTTGAAGCTGTGGAAGGTAAGGGGTGACACTTGACTCCTATTAGCCTTGTAGAAACACCTCAGAGATTCACAGGAAGCAAACTTTGACCATAAAAATATAAGACTCACAGCGCACCGAGTTCTCTTAGCAGCTACCTTAGAGTTGAGAAAGTTTTGGGCCTCTTTAATAAACAAGCACAAAGCAGTTCTTGCCAAATACGGCCTGCTCTGGGGCCACAGGGTTAGCTTAGGAGACAACTTTCTTGCCTAAAAATAAATGCATGTTCCTATCAGACATTCCAAGCATAGTTTAAACATGAGACTTCTGAGCAGCAGCTCAAGCTCTGTGGGTTCAATTATGTCAGAGTATGGGCAGTGAGGGTCTTTGGGGAGTGTGCCCCCTTATTTGGGATTGGTTGTGGCTACCAAGGAAATCAGATGATCAAATGCAAAACTTCCTCCATCTTATTTCTATATGATCTTTTTTTTTTTTTTTTGAGTTGGAGTCTTGCTCTGTTGCCCAGGCTGGAGTGCAGTGGCAGGATCTCAGCTCACTGCAGCCTCTGTCTCCCAGATTCAAGCTATTATTCTCCTGCCTCAGCCTTCCAAATAGCTGGGACTACAGGCGTGGCCATCATGTCCGGCTAATTTTTGTATTTTTAGTAGAGACAGGGTTTTGCCATGTTGGCCAGGCTGGTCTCCAACTCCTGACCTCAGGTCATCCACCCGCTTTGGCCTCCCAGAGTGCTGGGATTACAGGCATGGGCCACCGCCCCCAGCCTTATTTCTACACGTTCTTGATCTATCACAGGCTGGTGGGGGAGACAGCATGCATATAGATAATGAACAAGGTAACTTCAGATAGGATTATGTGCAATAAATTAAATAACAGCTAGCATTTTACCTTGTGCTAGACACTATTCTAAGTGCTTCCCATGGACTGACTGGTTTTTGTTTTTTTTTCTTTCCTTTGAGACTGAGTTTCGCTCTTGTTGCCCAGGCTGGAGTGCAATGGCGTGTTCTTGGCTCACTGCAACCTCCGTCTCCTGGGTTCAAGCAATTCTCCTGCCTCAGCCTCCCGAGTAGCTGGGATTACAGGCACGTGCCACCATGCCTGGCTAATTTTTGTATTTTTAGTAGAGACGGGGTTTCTCCTTGTTGGTCAGGCTGGCCTTGAACTCCCAACCTCAGGTGACCCACCCGCCTCAGCCACCCCAAGTGCTGGGATTACAGGCGCGAGCCACCATGCCCGACCCATGGACTCACTTGTATAATCTTGTGAAGCAGGTGTTGTTACCCTTACATGCAGAAATGGATCCATGGGCCTTTAAGCCACTTGCCCCTGTGACAGTGCCAGGATTTGAATGTAGAAGTTGAGGCTTTCAAGTTTATGCTGTTATTTCTACACTACACTGAAGTCTAGTGATTGGGAATGGCTTTGCGAGCGGGTGGTGAGGGGAGGAGTGTGCAGTGCAGGTACTTCAGATGGAGAGGAAGGTCTCAAAGAGGTGGCATTTCAGCTGTTCCTTAACGGATGAGAAAGAGAGAACCAAGAGAGCACCAGAGGAACGCGCTTCCAACAGAGAAAACCAAGCAAGGGGGCCCCCGAGGAGCAGAAAGGCCCGAGTGGTCAGAGCGGAGCCCGTGGAAGAGATGGGCACAGCCAGATTGCTTAGAGCTGTGTTGTTAGAAGTGCTGATGAGTCTACATTCAACTTGCGCCTGCAAACTCAGTCCCTCTTAGATGCCAGTAGGTCAGGAACCTCATGCTTCCAGGACTCTGGCGCTCCTACCCTTTCCTCCCAGGCCTCCTGGACAGGCCAAACCAGAACTGACTTCTAAAGTGGGAACCCCAAGACGGCAGAACATGAATCAGCCAAACAAAAGCTGCAGTTATCTCTGTGATGATTTCGGCAGTCGGCACGTGTATTTGATTAAAGCGTTGGTAACTTTGAATCTGGAGTTTTATGGCACTGTGTACTACTCATAATGGCTTTGTAGTGTGGCTCTCTTAGGGAGCTTAACTTTTACAACATGAACAAGTTCCAGCCTCCTTTGGTCCCATCAAGAGGCCATTTCTACCTGGTGGGATGCCACTTGCTTTACAAAGCATCTTTTGTAAAATGTTGAGTCTCCTTCTTTGAAGTTGGAAGCCAGGAAGCCTGATTTTTTTTCCAATAAGTATTGTAGAAGATGGCAGCCTGATTTATTTTTATTTATTTATTTATTTTGAGACGGAGTCTCACTCTGTTGCCCAGGCTGGAGTGCAGTGGCACAATCTCGGCTCACTGCAAGCTCCACCTCCCAGGTTCACGCCATTCTCCTGCCTCAGCCTCCCGAGTAGCTGGGACTACAGGCGCCCGCCACCATGCCCGGCTAATTTTTTGTATTTTTTGTAGAGACGGGGTTTCACCGTGTTAACCAGGATGGTCTTGATCTCCTGACCTCGTTATCCGCCCGCCTCGGCTTCCCAAAGTGCTGGGATTACAGGCGTGAGCCACCGCGCCCGGCCTGGCAGCCTGATTTTTAAACTGGCTTTTCTCCTAGGTCCTTTCCTTCTCTATAAATCCCTCTTTCACTTAGTATTTCCTCCTTGTTTCCTTTGGTCAGTTGGAGTGAGGGTGGTTCTAGTTCAGAGAAAGAGACAGGCATACAGGCTGATTCAGTCTGAGGTGCTTAGCTTTCTGTACCTCACTGGAAACCAGTCCAGGAATATGACAGGTTTCAGTAGGTTTCATTGGACCCACAACTCCCCATTTGAAGGCAGAGCTTGTCAAACGAGTTATGTGGCTTTTACTCAAGGAGGGAGGAACAGCAACAGGGAGCTCTGGGC
This sequence comes from Homo sapiens, assembly GCF_000001405.40. NCBI lineage: Eukaryota > Metazoa > Chordata > Mammalia > Primates > Hominidae > Homo > Homo sapiens. The sequence goes on from NW_014040929.1 coordinate 71,909, forward strand.
TATTGATAGACACTCCTGCCTCTGAACACACAGCACCCAGCAAGAAGTTACCTTCATGGGTTGTCTAGAGTGAACATGGGCTGGGATTCTCTCAGCCTTAGCACTGATGATTTGACAACAAAAATCGCCCCGTGGGTAGAGTATAACGGAGCAAATGATTATGGTGGCCTGTGATGGTGCAGCCAGCCCAGCTGCTTCAGCTGGAAAGAAGATGGCGAGGTTTCCATTCTCCTGGCAGCATAGCCATGTGAACTTGTTAAATCTTTTAAGTAGCTGTATAGGAGGGGAGATAAGTGTGTGTGTGTTTATTCTTATCCCCTTAAATACAAAAACAAAACTTCCACTTTATAAAATCAATTCAGAGTGGGAAGAGGTGCATGGCACATGGAAAATGTGTCGGATTAGGTTGAGTCCTACCCCACGTTTGGGACACAGCTGTAAGTTTCCATGGTGGGTGGCTTATTATGCATTTATGCTGAGCTGAACCTGCTCCAAGCTGCTGCAGATAGGAAAGTCTGTCTTGGAGGGGGAGCTGCCTCTTTCTATCACACTATAAAGACATAAAAGGTCCTTTGAAAGACTCCAGCAGTCACCACTTGGGTAACAGAATTAGGGGCTGCTGAGCAAAGTGGGTCTGTTTTTTTTTTTTTTTAAAGACAGAGTTTCCCTCTTGTTGTTCAGGAGTGGAGTGCAATGTCACAATCTTGGCTCACTGCAACTTCCGCCTCCTGGGTTCAAGTGATTCTTCTGCTTCAGCCTCCCAAGTAGCTGGGATTACAGGTGCCGGCCACCACGCCTAGCTAGTTTTTTGTATTTTTAGTAGAGACGGGGTTTCATCATGTTGGCCGGGCTGGTTGTGAACTGCTGACCTCAGGTGATCCACCCGCCTCAGCCTCCCAAAGTGCTGGGATTACGGGTGTGAGCCACTGCGCCCGGCCACATTTTATAGCCAACCGGCTTCTTGTGTAACATGAGTTGGGGCTTCTTGGGCCCCAGAGTCCAGCACTCAGGTAGAAATATGACCGCCATGGCCAGACAGCAGCCCTCGCTGGGCCCCTCTTCAGAGCAGAGCTCTGTGCCGAGCCTTTAGGGGTATGAGAGAAACCGGAGACCTGGTCCGTGCTCTCAAAGAGCTCGCGGTGTAGCTGGGGAGAGAGCAAGGCCACATGAGACCTCAGAAGGACACTAAACGGCACACCGACAAGCTCACAGCACTCTAGCTGTGTCCCGGGAGAGGAAAGGGGTGAATCAGGGCAGGTGGGGTCAGTCATGGAAACTTTCATAAAGGAGGTGAGTGTGCAGGAGGGGCGGGCCTTTGCCCCCGCTGCGGGCAGGTTGCCGAGGGCAAGTATTAGGGGGTCCGGCGTGCAATCGAACATTTCTTAGCTGCCTCTTTGGAGTAGCGCTACCAGTTCCTGTCCCCATGAGCATCGTCTTCGGGGAGCTGCTGGTTTGAAGGATGAGGTACCATGCTCATCTTGGCCATGTCTTAGAACCTGTGATAGCCAGACCTGTCGTTCTGGGTCCGTATCCATTCATGCGTCCTGTCACTGTCACAGATATCGTGAGTGGGCCAGACTCTTCTCCCCAGGTGGGAGGGGGTGCCTTCTGAGGCATATGTTTTCAGCCTGCTGATGGCCTCTTCAGAATTAGCACAGGTTTCGACAAAAAGAATGGAGAGACTCCCTTCTCATGTCCAAGGGTCTCCCCAAGCCCTGTGTCTCAGCCCCTCAGGGCGTGTGGTGCTGCACACTGCCGCCCAGATGACCACGCGCAGCCGGAACGGCCGCCCTGTATTGAGAAGTGGGATCGGCTCCCAGTCTGCTGGCGAGGCTGGGTTGCCACAGCTCCTCTGTTGCCCTGCAACGCGGGTGGCCTAGGAGTGTGCTGCCTTCAGTTTATTCCTGCCTGCCAAGCTACGCTTCCAGGTGCTATTCTTTTCTTTAAATAACTGCCTTAGTGCTGCTTGTGGAACTTAGCGTTCCCATCCCAGGAAATACTCCAGTGTTGTGTTTTTTTTTTTAAACTCATTCAGATGCTCATGGCCAAATGTGTGACTTAAATACCGCAGTGTCCTTGATATTGCCTTCCCCACACCGACAAACCGAGTTGCATTCTGGTCCCACTGTGGGATAAGGTTAGGGTAGCGGCGCTTGCCTCTTTGTGTGGTTTCAGATGTGTTTCTCCCCACTTCAGATAACACATGACAGCTGTAATATAGCTCAGTTCGTGCAAGTAAGGTAGGGGCAGAAATCATCCAGGAGAACTCCAGCCTCCATCCTAAAGGATTAGACTGCCTAGCATCAGTAGGTTTACCATAGAAGGATTCAGTGGAGATAGCGAGGGTGGTGAGTGTTGCTGGATTGAGCCCGTCCCTGCAGCCTGGGCACGGGAGCACTGCAGTGCCATGAAGGAGAGGGCTGGGGGATATTAGCACAGCCGGTTCCTATTTCCTTTTCCACCTGGTTAAGACTTCCGGGGAGGCCCTGCCCAGCAGTCCTTATGAGATGCTGCCTTCCTCTTTTTTGAAAGGCATAGATGATAAGGAGGTGGACATGTTTTGAGAAGAGAACCTAGAGCTCATTACTTGTATTTGAGGCATGTATTGCTTCACTCCCACTTTGGGAGAGTTTTTTCTGGGGAAGTTAAAGGCTATTCAGGATCAGAGAGTTTCCTGCATGGTCCCAGGGGCTGGGAGGAGCCACCTGCTCAGCTGGTGGTTAGCTGATAGCACCCAGCCTACCCACCAAGATAGGAGGCAGCTCAGATGTCACTGGGATTCGCAGTACCACAGGCTGTCCCTGGGCCCAAGCAGTTAGCTAGCTGCACCCCGGGAGGGGGTGTTGAGAGCACTGAAGCTCCTGTGGGAGAGTGCCTTTGACATCCCCCACTCCCCACTGCCCAGAACTAGGAGGTAGTGAAAGGTGTCAGTGGCAAGAAGGCTGGGCCAGAGCATGGAGGGAGGCCGACCTGGGCTCCACACCCACCTCCTCCACCACCGGCTGGCTGTGCGACCCTGGGCAGGTGGCGGGGGTTAAGCCTCAGTGTCCTTCTTTGAAAAGGGGCATCATCCTATCCTCAGTTTGAGGATTAGACGTGATAGTGCGCAGGAAGCACTCTGGTGCCTGGTACATTGTAAGTGCTCAATAAATGCAGCTTCCCAAAATGATTTCAATGGCACATGGTCCTGCATCCAGGTGGGATCTGCTACTTGAGTCTCCCCCTCAAAGGGGCCTGCTGAAATACGCAGCTCAGTGGGAAACCAAAACATACACCCCTTTCCTCCAGTGCTCCCCAGGAAGCGCCAAGTCCTGAGCCCAGCCAGCAACTTCGAAGAAGTGCCCTCCAACAAGTGGCAGTGGGCACTTGAGCAAGTGACTTAACGCAGCCCTCTCCCCAGCCCCTGCATCCATCTGGGCCTCATTATCTGGGAGGTGGCTTCTTGTTTCAGAGTTACAGGCCCTGAACAATTTTGTGTTGGGATGTGCCATAGGCAGTGCCAGGAAGGTTCTTTCATGAGTAATTTAACTTGTTACTAAGTTTGCTATCAGCCGGGGGGCTCTTTCCCCGGGTTCCCTTCTTTCCCTGGGTCCCCTTCCCCGCAAAGCAAAGTCCAACTCAAGTTAGAAACATCCCACAGCCTGGAGTCAGGCTGCCCTCTCTTCAGTTGGTGTGTGATGTAGAAGCAGGAAGGGCTTCCCACTGATAACCCTAAAAATAACTGCCCAGAAATGCTGTCAGATGGGGCCAAGAGGTGCACAGGAGCCTGTGCCCAGCTGCCGACCTGGAACGTGGGACTTTCTAGAGGGCTTGGAGGAGCCCTGCCCCTTCCAGGCCTCTTCCCAACAGTGCTTCTCACGCCTGCTGCTCCATTCCCTTTTCCTCCTTCCTCCCGCGCCCCCCCCTTTCCTGGGGTCACTTCCTGATGCCATTCTTCAACTTCGCCCCTGTCCCCCCCAAAAGCAATCAAATCCACAACCTAATAAGGCAAAAGAATGAGGAGAATGTCCGCCTCCCAGCCTCTCCCCTAACAGGGTGCAGGCCTGAAGCAAATTTGGAAAATGTTACAACGGAGTGACAACCGATGGGGGCTGGGGGTGGGGCGGTGCAGCCTTGTTCAGGAGCTGCCCATTGTTGGCCTGAGGCAGGACCCTAAGGGAAGGCCACCCGGTTTGCGCTTTCCTGATCAGGCTGTTGACACCCTTCTAGCACAAGAAAATGTATGGAAAGTAACTGCCTGAGTCAGCTGCATCTCCAGTTGTGGGATCCACGTGCCAGGAGAACACGAAGTACACACAGGTCCGCAGTGGGAGCCCGCTCGGAGACACCTCCCCGCCATCACGGCTGGGACTGTGCATATCCAAACACTTCTTGCCTCTGAGATGAGCAGTTTTCTTCCCCTTGACTGTGCCAGGGTTCAATTAGCCTGGGCATTAATTAAAACTTGTCAACACTTAGAGTGGGGCCCCCAGAAATCTGTCACCCCTCCTAGATCATTATCCCAGGCTAATCAACCCTCTCTAAGGCAGTTTCCATTCTTGACTTAGTGGGAGGGAGGAACAAGCCCCTCGGTGCTGGGGAGCTCTGGGGGAGGTAGGGACTGACTGGGCCCAACCCACTTTGTTTTGGAAGGTCAAGCTTAGTAATTAACCTGAATGCTTGGGGGAGGGGGTGAAGGAGAAAGAACTGAGTCTAGGGATGTGCCAGGTCTTTCAAATTGCTAATTATCAGCGAGCATGAGGTCATCCGTAAATATATCTAATTCTTTAGCTTGTAATTAAGGTGCTCATTAAAAGTGCAGGGAAGTCTTGTTTTCCTAAAAGGGGAAAAAAACAACAACACAAAAAGTCTTTGTTTTGACCTGACACGATGGCTCAGAACAGGGGGAGGACTCAAGGCACAGGACTAGTTTCCTGCCTTAAAGAGCCTTTACAGGAAATTGACTGCAAACAGTATTGGTGACCCTGCCAAGGAGGCAAACCTAGGGTGATGTCATTGTTCGAAGCTGTCACCGCCAAGCCTCTGGCCTTGGGGCGAGGAGAGTTGGTGGGATTAAAAAATGAGTGTGTGTATGTGTGTGTGTGTTTAGCAGTCTCTAAAGAGGCGAGTCAAGGGAAAATCCTAGCGGGAGAAAAATCACAAGGGGTGGGGGGTGTCTCAGAAATATTCTTAGCTGGGTTCAACTTTCCTCGTTTTTCTAAGTTTAAAAAATCCTCTCTTACTATTTTTGCTCATCAAAATGCTGCTGCTTTTTCAGAGACAGCCTTTTTTGAGCCATTCCCTATTTAGTGTTTTGGGTAATTGGCTGTTACAGTATGGAATTTGTGGCCCAAAGGCAGCGTGGTAAGTTAGACACTAGGTGCACGGTGCCCCATTGTTATGAAGTGTGGAAACTGAGACGCTGGACTAGTCTGATGTATCTGTTTCTTCCACCAAAAAAAAAAAAAAACCATTTTGGAGAACTACCCAATGCCAGTGACTTGGCATCTCTGAGTCGCTAATCTTCCCATGTGCCTCCAGGAACCGTCTGGAGCGTCCCTGAAAAAAGGACAAGGTTTGTATCTTGTCATTTTTCCTCTGGCTGGAAGTCTAAGAGGTATAAACACAGTCTTAAAATGAAAGCAACAAAAATAAACTCAAAGCAGCCCTGCGTGAAGGCATTAATGCAAAATATGCAAGCTGGCTTCCTATTTATACGGCGGAAGGCAGTCAGAAGAGCCAGGCCTGGTTAAGGAAGGAGTTATGTCTCTGGAGGTGCCTGTTCCTTAGAATTACAAATAAACCCTGGGTGATTACTCAGATGAGGTTGTAATGTGGTGTCTCATTTCATGCTTTGCACAGTCCAGTTTCTTGATGGAACCAACGGCCTCTGAAATGCTAATGCAGGATCAGGATACAGTTAGAGTGCCCCCCTTCCTGTGCCCCTCCTAACATCCTAACAGCTTTAGAAGGAAGTTTGAAGATTAAACAGGAGAGCCATGTAAGTTTCCTGTGATCCTAGATCCTGTGATTTGTTAATATTCTTTCTCTTCAATCCACCTGACATTTACCCAGATACCATATTAGGCTTGGAGATACAACAAGAAAGAAAACCAACCCAACCCTGTCCTTAAAGAAAAGATGGACGATGAAGGGCCAGGCGCAGTGGCTCACTCCTGTAATCCCAGCACTTTGGGAGGCCAAGGCGCACAGATCACGAGGTCGGGAGTTTGAGACCATCCTGGCCAACATGGTGATACCCCGTCTCTACTAAAATACAAAACATTAGCTGGGCATGGTGGTGCGCGCCTGTAGTCCCAGCTACTCAGGAGGCTGAGGCAGGGGAATTGCTTGAACCTGAGAGGCGGAGGTTGCAGTGAGCCGAGGTCGTGCCACTGCACTCCAGCCTGGCAAGAGAGTGAGACTCCATCGCAAAAAAAGAAAAAAGAAAAAAAGAAAAGATGGACAATGAATTGCATGATGGAAGTGAACAGTGTTAGGGCGATATGCAGATGTAAATGTGGTCTTGTTTTACTGCTCACTGACTTACTGAAGTAAACCCATTGACTTCGCCTTCATGGGTTTGAAAAGGGTTTTTCCAATGTGCTCTGTGTGTCTCGGAGCTCAGGTGTTCAGAGCTGCCTCCCTTATAAATCGACCTCCAGGAGAGTTGTGTGTTTGGTTCTTGGTGTATGGTTTCGTAGGCTCCCCAGGGCTGAGGAGTCACCTTGGGATCCAGCTTTTTTTCTTTTTTCGAGACAGTCTCTCCCTGTCGCCCAGGCTGAAATGCAGTGGTATGCACTTGGCTCACTGCAACCTCTGTCTCCTGGGTTCAAGCGATTCTCCTACCTCAGCCTCCCAACTAGCTGGGATTACAGACGCCTGCCACCGTGCCCAGCTAATTTTTGTATTTTTAGTAGAGACGGGGTTTCACCATGTTGGCCAGATTGGTCTCGAATTCCTGACCTCAGGTGATCCACTGCCTTGGCCTCCCAAAGTGCTGGGATTACAGGCGTGAGTCACCGCGCCCAGCCAAAATCCAGCTTTTTCTTAGTTCCTGGCTTGGGGCATGTTGCTGGAAAGGAATGACAGATTGAGGCAAGAAGGAGGCAAGAAGGATGCATCTCCTGGCCAAGGAAACTAGAGTTTGGAGGTGTCCCCTGTCAATGGCATCTGAAGAATTTCTACATTGGAAAGGCATAGGTGACCCAGTCTGGTTTGGAGTAGATGGGACTGGGTAGGGGACTAGTCTTGAAGCTGCAAGCATGCTGTTTTTACTTAGAGCACAGGTAGCTGGGGAGGAGATCACTGTGGTGTGGGTGGCAGAAGCCATCCCTAGCCATCACCTAGGAAGATGGTGGCCCTTGGGTTGCCCGAGCTGCTGCTTGTTTTAGTAGCTGCATTTGGTGCCACATTTTTGTGGTAACTGCCAGGAAGCGGAGCCCAGCGTGGCCTCAGGAAGTTGGTGAGGTTTGCACCACTTTTTAACAGGCTGGTAACAGTGCCGGAGCTGACACCCTCATGGTTGCAGCCCTGGGATTTTGTTATTTGGGGACACTTTGGAATATGTCACTCAGAATGCTGGCTCACTAGCTCCACAAGCAAAAGACTCCTTGGGTAGCTGGAAGCAAGCGTTGGGGGAAGGAGGGAGAGGCAATTGCAGTCCAGCCAAGAATCTCAAGGCTCAGTCTTCAATGTATGGAAACTTCAGTCCTTTTCTGATCTTTAGTGGAAATAGCTGTTCACTCTTAGCGCCAATTGGAAAGTGTTGGCAGCTGAAGGGGGTCGTTCCTCAGGGGTCCCCAGAGCCAGTGTATCTGGTATTTCTAACATTTTCCTAGCCACCCCTTTCTCCTCCATATGCCCCTCCCAGCCCCACCATTCAGATAGGGTGGCTGGAAAGAACATCTCCTAGGTCCTCTAGGAAACTTGGTGTTTCCACTCAAGGGAGTTGGGGATCACGTAACACCCTCCACTTCCACCTGGGATTTCAGGCCATCTGTGGGAGTGCAAGAGCATGGTGGGGTGGAGGTCACAGGAAGGTGGAAGCAAAGCCAGGGCAGCTCCACATGCAGCCCCCTTTCAGGAACAGCAAGGATAGGCCGGCCTGTATCTTGTTGCTCAGAGCAGGTGATCCTGTCATTTGGACCCTTGTGAGGAGAATGGATGTGAGTGTGCACCTGGTTCTCTTCTCCTGGGGCTGAGGGACTGTGGTCTTGGATTATCACATGGTAGGTGAGGTGACAAAATGGAGGGAAGTAGCCTGGGTGGGGACTGGGGTGGCCACTGCAGAGCTCTAGCTGATGGTGGCCAGGTGGGAATGGGGACCTGGGACTTCACGAAGCTGGAAATGGAGAGTTTTATGGGGCATTTCATTCAACTTAAAAACCTGGCCGGGTACAGTGGCTCACGCCTGTAATCCCAGCACTTTGGGAGGCTGAGGAGGGTGGATCACGAGGTCAGGAGATTGAGACCATCCTGGCCAACATGGTGAAACCCCATCTCTACTAAAAATACAAAAATTAGCTGAGCGTGGTGGCTTGTGCTTGTAATCCCAGCTACTCGGGAGGCTGAGGCAGGAGAATCCCTTGAACCAGGGCGTCGGAGGTTGCAGTGAGCTGAGATGTCGCCATTGCACTCCAGCCTGGTGACAGAGCAATACTCCAACTTAAAAAAAAAAAAAAAAACCTGCAGGCCATACAAAATAGGGCCTATTGGGTGTGAAGAGCTACCCATTTGTGACCCCTAACCTTGCATGGTCTTGACCCTGTCTCTGCCTCTCCTCTAGTCTCCCCTTTCCTCTTGTCTGAATTGCTGCTGCTTAATCCTCTCACTAGGAGCGAGAAAATTGTACTTTGCCCCTTAGTGACAGCTCTGATAAAAGGTGGTTGAAGTGGATGGTAGTAAAAAGGGTTTGCTTTAGCTGTGGTTTTCCAGCCTCCGGACTCCTCCCCCTTTCCCATCACCATAGATAATTAAGAGTTGACTCCTCAAAATTCCTCCCACCATATTGCATATTTTTAGGCTTCAGGTTTTTGTGAACCAAAATAGTGGAAAGTTTTTTTGTTTGTTTGTTTTGGGTAGCCCAAAGCAACACTTTTCTACAGAGGCAGCCATTCTGCACGCACAATAACCTGGTGAACAATGCCAGCTTTCTATTAATAAATGAACTGCCAGTTCAGAATTTGTACCCATGTGGCAGATGGACAGAAATAGTTTCTTTAGGATTGATCTCTTAAATTTGACTTTGGGAAGATACTGGCAGTCCAGGTTTTGTGACAGAGATCCATCCTGAGATCTTTGTAAATGGAAAAGCCTGAATGCAGCGTTTCTTATTGATAGGAGAGTTGATGGATTTCAGGAAAATGGGATATAGTAGATGTGCAATGAATTTGTTGACTTGGAAACAAATTTGGACACTTATCCCTGAAAACTTCAGGCCATTTTTTCCTAAACTCTAATTGAGTCCCTGTGATTGGAGTACTAGCCCCACAGTCCTTATCAAACTTCGCATTTGGAGCAGGCAGTCTGTCTGGGAAAAGCCAGGAAGCTCGCCATGAAGGCATCGCCCTCTGCTTTTAACTTTTTTAGGCTCTGTTACCTCTGCACTGGCTTGAGTATTTCCTGGCTCAATTGTTTCTCAGGCTGGCCTTGAGTCCTTAGATGTTATTTGTGTGCCTAGAAATAGCTGGAAGAAAAATGGTTGTAATGCTTTGCATTGCTCACTGCTCTCCATGGATGGAAATTCTGTGAGGGAAAGAGGGCTTTCCACCCAGAAAAAGAGCTGGGCAGCGTAGACTTCATTGTCCTGCTGGCCTGTCATGTTATTCTGCTATACTACAGCGATTAGGATGAGAGAGTTTCTCGCTCTCCCTGGGTGTGCCACCTAAGGTACATTAGGGTAGGGACGAACATGGCGGGAGTTCTCATAGTGGGCTTTCCTGCCAGACGTATGGCCCACACAGCAGTATTTCTTACATGTGGTTCTTTTTTTTTTTTTTTTTTTTGAGACGGAGTCTTTCTCTGTCGCCTAGGCTGGAGTACAGTGGCGTGATATCGGCTTACTGCAACCTCCACCTCCCAGGTTCAAGCAATTCTCCTGCCTCAGCCTCCTGAGTAGCTGGGACCACAGATGCATGCCACCACACCTGGCTAATTTTTGTATTTTTAGTAGAGACGTGGTTTCTCCATGTTGGCCAGGCTGGTCTTGAACTCCTGACCTCAAGTGACCCACTCGCCTTGGCTTCCCAAAGTGTTGGGATTACAGGTGTGAGCTACCACACCCTGCCAAGGTTCTATTATTTGATCTATGTTCTTTGTTTGTTTGTTTGTTTGTTTTGAGATGGAGTTTCGCTCTTGTTGCCCAGGCTGGAGTGTAATGGCACGATCTCGGCTCACCGCAACCTCTGTCTCCCGGGTTCAAGCAATTCTCCTGCCTCAGCCTCCTGAGTAGCTGGGATAACAGGCATGTGCCACCACACCCGGCTAATTTTGTATTTTTAGTAGAGACGGGGTTTCTCCATGTTGGTCAGGCTGGTCTCAAACTCCTGAACTCAAGTGATCCACCTGCCTTGGCCTCCCAAAGTGTTGGGATTACAGGCGTGAGCCACCATGCCCGGCCCCTGTAACCATTTTTAAGTGATTGATCATCTCAGCATGATTGATGGAGATGATGGGGTTGGCCATCCATTCTTTTTTTTTTTTTTTTTTGGAGACAGTCTCACTCTGTCTCCAAGGCTGGAGTGCAGTGGCACAATCTTGGCTCACTACAACCTCTGCCTCCTGGGTTCAAGCGATTCTTCTGCCTCAGCTTCCCAATTAGCTGAGATTACATGCATGCACCACCATGCCTGGCCAGTTTTTGTGTTTTTAATAGAGACAGGGTTTTATCATGTTGGCCAGGCTGGTCTCAAGCCCCTGACCTCAGGTGATCCCCCCACCTCAGCCTCCCAAAGTGCTAGGATTACAGGCATGAGCCACCACACCCGGCCTATTCATCATTTATTGAGCATTTATTTATACCCACTATGTGCCGTAAACAAGGTGCTGAGTAATGAGATGTGAACAGAATAGTCCTTCTTCTTGTCCTCATGGAGCACACAGCCTAGTCGGGGACAATAGGCATTAAAAAATACCAACAATGAAAACCCAAGACATACATAGAGTGTTCCAAATTGTGGTTTTATTTTTTATATATATATATTCATATATATTTATATATATTTATATATATATTCATATATATTTATATATATGAATATATATTTATATATATTCATATATACTTATATATATTTATATATACTTATATATATTTATATATATTCATATATATTTATATATATTCATATATATTCATTTATATTTATATATATTCATATATATTTATATATATTTATATATTTATATATATTATATATATTTATATATTTATATATATTATATATATTTATATATTTATATATTTATATATACTTATATATATTTATATATTTATATATATTTTTATATATATATATTTATATATGTATAATTTTTTTTTTTTTTTTTTTTGTGATGGAGTCTCTATCACCCAGGCTGGAGTGCAGTAGCGTGATCTCAGCTCACTGCAACCTCTGCCTCCCAGGTTCAAGCAATTCTCTGCCTCAGCCTCCTGAGTAGCTGGGATTACAGGTGCCTGCCACCACGTCCGGCTAATTTTTGTATTTTTAGTAGAGATGGGATTTCACCATCTTGGCCAGGCTGGTCTTGAACTCCTGACCTTGTGATCTACCCGCCTCGGCCTCCCAAAGTGCTGGGATTACAGGCGTGAGCCACTGCGCCCGGTGTGATTATTTTTATGAAGGAAAAGACCAGAGTCCTTTAAGAGGGGACAGTGGGGGACTTGCAATAGATTGTGTGGGAGCTGTCAGGGGAGACTTTCCAAGATGATGACAGTGAAGTGAGGCCTGGAGGGAGAGTTAGAGCCAACCTCAGAGAAGGGAACACTGTTCTAGGCAGGAGGACCCAGGGTTGTGGGAAGAGAGAAATAAAATGAGACCAAGACAGTGGGGAGAGCAGTGTGAGTTGAAGTCAGAGGGGTGACAGCAGCCAGAATGTGCCGGTAGCGAGGATCTTGGATTTTATTCTAGCTGCAATGAGAGCTTTGATTCTACAAATATTTATTGCGTGCTAGTCACTGTTTTAGGTACTGGGTGTACAACAGTGAAAAAAGAACTTCCCAGCCGAGTGGAATGCCGTGGAGCATATCTGTTTCGATGCTGGGACAGATCCCTAACACAGCTCATTAAAGCAGATAGCACCATTCCGTCTCTTTCTTCAGCTTCACTTTACGTCAGTCCCAGCATTTTTATCCCTACCCTTACAGATGAGAGAACTAAAGTTCAGAGAGGTGACGTGACTTGCCCCAGGCCCCTCAGTCAGTAAAAGACAGAACTGAGAATCCAACCAGACTCTTCCCTTTTTAGGTTATTTCTCTAACATTAGGGCCGAGTATCGATTCTCTTTACCTCTGACTTCGTGTCCCTGGTATTAAGACTCAGGGCCCACAGTGCCTCTTGGAATTCAGGCATATGGTGACATCAGTGTGCCTACCATTCAGGTCTTGGAGAATAGGGTATGGCGAAAGGAGAGAACTCGTGATATCGCTGATTCAGTAGCCCAGAGTTGTACGAGTCCTTGGGTGTTTCACCTTCATCCAGGCATCTGAGATTGGAGACAAGCATGTGGCTGAATGACGTATCTGGGGGAAGCTGTCTAAACAGCCGTGTGGAGTTGGAGAGTTGAATTAGCTCTGTGGCCAAACCTCTGGGCTCAGTCTGCCTATATATGGCTTGATCTCAAAGAACAGGTGATAGCAGTAGGAGTTGTTTTCTGTGTTGCTGGTGGGAGATGCCCAGGCACATTCCTTTGTAGACAAGCACAAACTAGATATTTTTGAAATCGGAGGTCTGAAACCAGCCGAAGAATTAATCCTGGCCTGGAAAGCATATGGGAGAGTACAGCCAACCTGGCTTGGGTGTTGCTTTCTTGGTTTTGTTGCATTTTTGAGGCAGGGTCTTGCTCTGTCACCCAAGTGGGATCACAGTGGTACAATCATGGCTCATTGCAGCCTTAACCTCCTGGGCTCAAGTGATTCTCCTGCCTTATTTTTTGATTTTTTTTGTAGAGGTGAGGTCTCACCATGTTGCCCAGGCTGGTCTTGAGCTCCTGGGCTCAAGTGATCCTCCACCTTGGTCTCCCAAAGTGTTAGGATTACAGGCGTGAGCCGCTGCCCCTGGTGACTTTGTTGCTTTTTAATAAGCCCAGAAATTTCTTTCAAGAGGGAGGATCTTTGTGAACATCTTGAGCCGCGTTCTTGATCGCTGGCTGTGGAAGCCTCCACCTATCAGGCTCAAGTCCATGTTGCTATCATGTGCACTTTGGCTGGTGAGGTGCTGAGCAGAGGTTTCAGCCTCTACCACAAGGTTTCCTGATGAAAGGTCAGCTGGGTGGGCCCAGCTTCTCCTTACCCAACTGAGAGGCCTCATAGAGCACAAGGCCTGGGTACGGAGGTTCCTGGGGCTCCTGCCATACCCAGCCAGGCCAAGCAGAGGGCCCCAGTGTGTTGTTGGGTGCTGAGAGGCTGCCCGCAGCTCTCGCCTGTGTTGGAAGGCTGTAGACTTGGCTTCTCCCAAACGTAAGCTGTGAAGCCATGGACTCAGATTCTCAGCCTGGCCCTGCTACTTACTGTGGGACCTTGGGCAAGGAAGTCTCCATTTTCTCTTTTACAAAATGGGGCCAATAATCTGACTACCACAGGGCTGTCAGGATGCAGCGGGATGGAGCCTTTATAGGGTCTTGTTCTGTGGGATCTGGAGTCCCATATGGGAGTTATTAGTTGAGGGACGAGGCATCTGGGAATCTTTATTCAACTAGGAAACTTCAGCCAAAGAACTAATGCCATAGAGATGTCTTATGGTGTCTGCATTTGAAGCCAGCGGTTCTTTGAAAATTTATCCTGAGTTCCAGAAAGCCAACTGCTAGATAAGTAAGCATTGAGCATTTAAGGGGTCCTGGAAGTAAGATTCCTGGAAAGAAGCAGCAATCTCTTACTCATCCCCGATTATCTCAGACACAGAGTGGTGGATGGAACCTTTGTGGTTTAGGGGCTGACTCTTGGTATTGCTGGATAAGGAATATGAGCCAGTAGAGACGAGTGTGTTGTATAGCAGTGTCCTGCGACTGGGCTGGAGACGTGGCTGAGGGAGGCCAGGGGGCCTCAGAGTGCACGGGAGGAGGCTTACAGAGGTCTTTTGCATCCTGCAGAACACCACATGTGTCCTTCCCTCTGGGAAACCTCCCACCCGGGCAGGGCCTCTGGGGCCGGATGTGGAAGGTAAACAGGCTGCCTTTCTGCTCTCTACCACAGACAGGCCCGGAAAGGCCTGAGTAGGAGCTTTTCATCTCAGGAAGCCCTGAGGTCCCACAGCTTCTCCTGAAGCAGCCTCATTGTCCCTTTGTAAGAGCATGACCAGGTGCTCTAGCTCCTGGAGCACCAGTGGAGAACTAGAGTGGCCCAGGTGCTGATGCCAAGTTCGAGCAACAGCTCCTGGCGGGTTTCCCTGCATCCCCCCACTCACTCCCATCTATTCTTCACATAGGGGCCAAAGAACATCCTGCTTGACATCTTGATCAGTGTCCCTTGCCCTCAGGATCAAACCTGCAAGTCCCCAAGGCCCTGCAGGATCTGTTTTCTCCTCTCTGTGCTCCGGGCGCATGCCAGCTGCCTCTCTGCTCCATGCTCATTCCTGCCTCCTGAGGGACTTCACACGGGGCCCTTGCCTCTGCCCCTTTCGCCTCAGCTCGCCACCTACCTCCTCCTCATTCTTCAGATGGCAGTTTATGCTTCACTATTTGTAGGGCCGTCGCACCTGACACCTCCAGCCTAGGTTAGGAGCATGTCCATCACCTCTACTTCTCCTTTTAACTCCAACCATCCTTGGCTCTCCCTCTCGAGGGTCACGAGAGCAGAGAGAGAATCTATTTTGTTCACCACTGTGTCCCTACCATGTGGGACATTGTCAAGGCAAATGTAAGTGTGCACTAAATAAATATGTATTGAATGAATAGATAGCCAAACAGACAGAATGGATCTGCCACAACACAAACAGGATGCTTTTCAAGTGGGCAGAAGATGGAGACATCACTTGTCGAGACACTCAAACAAGTGGCTGGATGGATGAGTGGCAGATCCATTCTGTCTTTCTGCTTGGCTTTAGGAGTAGAGGGATCACCCATGGTCCATCCTCTGAGGACAAGGGTATCATGACCGCCCAGGCCCCACTCACCCCTGCCAGGCTCATTGCATCCCATCTAAAAGTGTGCTCTGGAAGGTCATAAGAAGTCCTCACCTGGGACACTTCTAGGCCCAGTGTTCAGCCAGCTGTCCTGAGTTCTGCATCAGTCCCTGCTAGATATGAAACACAAACAGGATGCGATGCTTTTCTTTTTTTTCTTTTTCTTTTTTGAGACGGAGTCTCGCTGTGTTGCCCAGGCTGGAGTGCAGTGGGTGCAACCCCTACCTCCCGGGTTGAAGTGATTCTCCTGCCTCAGCCTCCCAAGTAGCTGGGATTACAGGTGCACACCACCATACCCGGCTAATTTTTGTATTTTTGGTAGAGACAATGTTTCACCATGTTGGCCAGGCTGGTCTCAAACTCCTGGCCTCAAGTCATCTGCCTGTCTCAGCCTCCCAAAGTGCTGGGATTACAGGTGTGAGCCACCGCGCCTGGCCAAACAGGATGCTTTGCAAGTAGGCAGAAGAGGGAGACATCACTGTCCCATGGAGAGGTGGGAAAATCATCGTTAGCACAGGATAATTCATCCTATTTTGTGCTCATGTTTACTGAGCTAGGATTGACCTGTGTCCGGGCAGCAGGGACACAGAGGTGAGTAAGACAAAGAGAAGGCCCTTGCCCTTAAAAATGATACGTGTGGCTAAAACGCTGTAGACCTTTTTGTTTTTTCCTTTTTGAGACTTCCTTTTTATACAGAAATTGCTACCTGCAGGTAAAATTAACTTACATCGTGAAAGCGACAGTAAAGTGTTTCTAGGGATAGCTAAAGACCTAAGAACACAGCCCTGTGGTTTGACTGGCTGGCCACCTTCCTGCAGCTGGGTTTACTATGGTGCTGTGTTCTGGGACAGCCCACTCGTCTCCATTTATTGGGCTGAGCCTCGAGACCTGCAATACCAGGGAAGGAAGGGAAGTCTAGGCTGTCTTTGGTGGCCATTGTTATTTATGGGGCATCGGCAGAGAAGTCAGTACCATGGAAAATCTAGAGAAAGATAGAGGATACGCAGTGTGGTTGAGCAGAATCTGATAGCTCCCTGGCTCTCTCCGGGCCATGGGACCCAGGGCGACACAGCCACCCTTTTTCTCTCTGCTGTCTGGCTTGGGCTTGGGCTTTGTCTCCTGTGTCCCTCCACACCTTCTTCGCTGTCAGTGGTGACCAATCCCGTGGAATCAGCCACTGTGTGTTACCCCAAGTCCTTGCCCCTGGGACCTCGCTCTGTTCGGAGACAAAACCCGGGACTGTTTCTCCTTTTAAATGCAACCTTGTTCCACAGGAGAGGAGAAAAGCAAGAAAGAGGTGGCTTGTTTATCTGATGGTAGTGGGGTGTGCTCTGATATGCCTTTGAAAGGGGCCCAGCTTTGCTTTGCCCAGCGGCCTTTGCAGGATAATGAGAGAAGGAAAACACAGGGAACTTAGTGGGAATTTGAAACTGGAGTGTGGGAGTGGGAAAGTTCAGCTTTTACCTTGGAGCAATCCAGTCTTTCTCCTGTAGGAAAACAGAATGGTGCTGTATGGCCTCCAAGCTGGGTTACATCCTGGGAAAAAGACACGTGCTTGGCTATTGGCCTGGGCGCAGTTTATGTGTAAGCCTTTCCTTGTGGATTCCATTTTCTTATTTCCCGAATACTTCTCAGCCCCACAAGTCCACTGAGTCTTCTGTCTCCAGAGACTGCCTGGTTTCCATCCCCGAGGGCATCTGCGCATCACTTACCATGGTGTACCATGCACCTCCAGTGTGCCCGGCACTGTGTCAGGAGCTGGGGATACAGGTGCTGGTCCCCACCTCACTCCCCTCAACCTCTGCAATATATGATACATAACCCACACACACAGACCATATGCAAAAGTGGTGGGACTCCTTTGTACCTGTCACCTGCATCAGTGATTATCAGCATTTTGCCAGACTTGTTTCATCAGTGTCTCCCAACACACTCCCCCCAGACATTACCCATACGTGCTCAAATAGATTTGGGTGTGCGTGTGTGTGTGTGTGTGTGTGTGTGTGTGTGTATTTTTTTAGAGACAGGGTCTCGCCCTGTCACCCAGGCTGGAGTACAGTGGTGAGATCATAGCTCACTGCGGCCTCTGAACTCCTGGGCTTGCTTTGTTGCCCAGGCTGGTCTCAGAACTCCTGGCCTCAAGCGATTCTGCCACCTTAGCCTCCCAAAATGCTGGGATTACAAGTGTGAGCCACCGCACCCGGCCAATGTATGTATTTTTAAACATAACCACATACTGTTATATTTAATGCTTCTGACCATGTCTTAAGAAAAAAACAAAAACTCCCTTTGGCTTCCTTGACATCACAGTCTCTCTGTTTCTCTGACTCTTCTTCCTCATCTCCTATGGCTAAATTCTCTCCCTCTGTCCACTGCTTACACATGGGCATTTCACAATGTCCTTTTTCCCTGAAGGAACTTACCCCCTCCCCTCAGCCTTAAGTACCCCATCTGTGGGGATGATGCCCATGCCTGTAGTCCTGACTCACTCACCACGCTCTATCGCAGTTATTTACTGATGCATCTCTCTCCCCTATCAGACGCTGAGGTCTTTGATGGAGCAACCTTGTATTTGTCCGTGTATCCCCAGCACCACACCTGTCCATAGCTGGAGCTCAGGAAGTTTTTTTTTTTTTTTTTTTTTTTTTTTTTTTTTAAAGTCAGAGTCTCACTCAGTCGCCCAGGCTAGAGTGCAGTGGCACAATCTTGGCTCACTGCAACCTCCACCTCCTGGGTTCAAGCAAGCACGTCTGGGTAATTTTTGTATTTTTAGTAGAGATGGGGTTTCACCATTTGGCCAGGCTGGTCTCGAAGTCCTGACTGCAAGTGATCTGGCCGCCTTTGGCTCCCAGATTGCTGGGATTACAGACAGGCATGAGCCACTGCGCCCGGCCTCAGGAAGTAGTTGAATGAGTGACTGAATGAATGCCCACGTGAGCAAATGACCTGTTTGCTGAACTTTAGACTGACGTTGCCTGATGCCCACTGCTTGTGCAGTACGTACTTCAGTCTCAGCGTGTCTGAGACCAAACTCATTTTCAAGTCCCACTTCTTGGGCTTGGCATTGCCCATTTGTCAGCCATCCGAGTCAGAAACCTTGGAGTCAGCTTTTGACTTCTCATCCTGTAACAGGCACCAAGTTTGATTTCTTTCCCTTGAATATCTCTTAGAACCCTCACCTTCCTCCTTCTCTTTATTCCTACCATTGTCCTTACTCAGGACCATATAGTGAGGGTTTAAAAGTGCAGAGTCTTGGCCGGGTGCGGTGGCTCACACCTGTAATCCCAGCACTTTGGGAGGCCAAGGCGGGTAGATCACCTGAGGTCAGGAGTTCGAGACCAGCCTGGCCAACATGGTGAAACCCCGTCTCTACTAAAAATACAAAACTTAGCTGGATGTGGTGGTATGTGCCTGTAATCCCAGCTACTCAGGAGGCTGAGGCAGGAGAATTACTTGAACCCGGGAGGTGGAGGTTGCAGTGAGCTGAGATTGCGCCACTGTACTCTAGCCTGGGTGACAGAGTGAGACTCCAATCTCTAGAAAAAAAAAAAAAAAAAAAAAAAAGCAGATTCTAAACTCACAGTGCTGCTGCTGGCTGCCTGAGCTTGTGTGGCTTTGGACAGATGACTTAACCACTCTGTGAAGATGGTATCTGATGCACAGGAAATGCTCCAACGTTGGCTCTTGTCGTCATCTGTGCCCATGTCTCCCTCAGCAGCCTCCTGACTGGCCTTCTCCAGTCTCCTGGTTTGGATTGAGGCTCCCTAGACCCTACCTTTCTGAGACTGGTATCTAGTCAGGTTACTCTGGGAGATCTCCACCCCCCACTGCCCAGAGAGCAGGTTCTGAGCTCTTCAGTCTCTCCACCTTCTGGCCCCGGCTGACACCATCCCTGCCACTTCTCCTGGGGTCCCCAAACATCTGTGGTACTTTTGTCTTTCTTGCCCTTGGTGTTCCCACTCTGCAGAACAACCTTCTCTCCAGGTCACCACTGATCGCAATCGCGCTCTCCTTTCAAGGCCCAGATCAGGTGTCACCTGACCTTTGCTGTCCTCAGATCACACCTCCCTGTAGCGACTGGCTCGCCAGTGTCCCTCTCTGACCGAGCTGTGCACTCCTCCAGGGCAGCACTGTCAGGGTCTCCCCCAGACCCTTGGTTGTGATTCTCTCTCCTTGTCCTGAATCTCAGTTTTCCTGATACATGGGATGCTACCTGAAGGCAGGTTTCAACTTTCAATCTTTTTTTTTGTTTTTTGGGTGAGATGGAGTCTTGCTCTGTTGGTCAGGCTGGAGTGCAGTAGCGCCATCTCGGCTTACTGCAGCCTCCGCCTCCTGGGTTCAAGGGATTCTCGTGCTTCAGCCTCCTGAGTAGCTGGGACCACAGGGGCCTACCACCACACCTGGCTAATTTTTGTATTTTTAGTAGAGACGGGGTTTTGCCATGTTGACCAGGCTGGTATCAAGCTCCTGGCCTCAAGTGATCCACCCACCTCAGCCTCCCAAAGTGTTGGGATTACAGGCGTGAGCCACCGCTCCTGGCCTGGAGGATTTCAGATTTAAAGCAAAGAGGATATTTTCCAACAAAGCAACTGCTTTTCTTTTTTCTTTTTAAATTTTGTTTATTTATTTTTAATAAAGATGGGATCTTGCATCTTGCCCAGGCTGGTCTCAAACTTCTGGCCTCAAGTGATCTGCCTGCCTCAGCCTCCCGAAGTGCTGGGATTACGGGTGTGAGCTACCATGCCCTGTCTCTTTTTTTGTTTGTTTTTTTTCCAAATTGAAACAGGGTCTCACTATGTTGCCCAGGCTGGATTGAACTCCTGGCCTCAAGCAGTCCTCTCGCCTTGGCCTCCCAAAGTGTTGAGATTAGAGGTGTGAGCCACCATACCTGGCCCTGTAGAGGGGAGGCATTGATGAAGGTCAAGAAGTCCTGTTAGCTCTGCCTTCAGAATCTACCCCAGGTCCTTTTAGTTCTCTCCAGCCTCACTGCTGGAACCCTCACCCAAGCCACCACCTTGCAGTCCACACACGGCCACTGGGATTGGGGCGGCGTTCTCCGCGCGAAATCTGGCTGTGCTCCTCCCCCATGAGGCCCTCCAAAGGCTTCCTCTTCTTAGGATGAAACCCACACTGCCAGCCGAAGCTCCTCAGGCTCCCACCCTCTACAAGCTCCTTCTGCTCCAGCCACACTCACCAGGCCCGAGTTCCCACCTAGCACCTTCCCTGGGAATGATCTCCCCCTGGTTGGCTCTTTCTACTTATTCAGCCTCAAATGTCATCTCCACTGAGAGGCCTTTCCTGACCTGCTGAGCTTGATTCCCTCCCCTCCCCAGTCACATTACTCCGTGTTATGGTACCCATCCCTGTCTCCTTAGCTTGTTTTTGTCTGTATTGGCTCTTCCACTAGACTGTAAGTTGCATGAGGGCAGGGATGTCTGTTTAATCCCAGTGCTCAGGATAGTGTATGGCTCGTGATAGATGCCTAGTACATTTTAAAATGAGAACGAATGAAGTTTGGGAGAGGCTCAGAGCAGTGAGTCTCCCCCTTGTTGGGGGACTGGGGAGTGCCTGGGAGGGGCTATCTGGTGCCAGCGGTTTGGAGTGGCTGGGATGACTCTGGAATCCTGTGAGGCCCAGTCAGTTTCTTTGGTTCTCATGCAGTGCAGTGCCCTCAGACCTAACCATTTTGTTCCGTGCTGGCTTGAAAGGGTCTGCCTCCCTCCCAGTGCAGCCCCTGCCTCTCCTCTTTCTCGCCCCCCGCCCTCCTCCAGAGAAAGCAGGTGGTGAGGGCTCTCTAACCCAGACAGGACTTGCTGTTCAGCCCCAGCTTGAAATTGATTTCCTCCAGCCCTCCTTGAGCCAGGCCCCGTGAACAGAGGAGGGGTCTGAGCCAGGCCTCCTAGGCCATTGGTGGGAGGGAGAATGAGACAGCCATTTGGCCCACAGGCCACCAACTTTTCCCCCCCTTCTCTAAAAGACACACAATGGCAGTTGGGCTGCACCTTTGTGAGTCACCGGTGATAGCCCATCATAAATTGTTATTTCCTATATTTCCAGAGCAGCTTTATCGGGCGTTGCCTGTGCAGTCCGGGAACCGATTTGGTATGGGGTCAGTTAACATGCTGTCTTGTTGAAATCTGTCATCATGCCCATATAAGGCAAACTCCTTGGATTACTTTTTACCTTGGCAGAATCACAGGAATGTCAAGGTAACCAGGCCACCTCAGCATAGCTCTGATTCTCACCCGGTCACCTGACTTGCCCGCCCTCCCCCATGACTCACCCAGTGGCTCAGCATGGGGCCTGCTGCACTGTGGCTGCTGGAATCTGCCAAGGACCTCCTGGGACTGCCCTTGGTTTTGTGTCTTCCTTAGAGTAGATCAAATGAGAGGAACCATGTGAAGTAGCTCACACAGGGCCTAACAGAGCAAACACAAGACGTGGAAAGCAGACTTGGTGAGGCTTGAGTTTAGTTTGGGGGTTGCGGGGGTCCCAGCTCTGCTGCTTAACAGCCCTGTGGCCATGGGTATATCCCCCAGCATTCAGAGCCTTATCTGTAAAATTAGAGCACGCAGAACAAACCCTGGTACACACTAAGTGCTCAATAAATGTGAGTCATTTGTGTAATTATAGTAGGGTAGGCCTTATGCCCCACCCAGTCATAAAAATGCCTCTTGCTGTTGTTGGTTCAGGCTCAGCCCCTTAGTGGCTTTCATGGGGCAGGTTGACATGGTACCCAGAGTCCTCCTCGGTCCTCTTCCCATGGTGTAGTGAGAGCACTCAGGACCACCTAGGCCTTTCCTAGAAAACTGAACCCACACCTTCCCAGTGCTGCCCCACCCTGGTCCCCCACCCCCTGCAGGACAAACCACTCCTCCCTTGTTTTGGGGCCAGGAGTCAGATCTGCCCCTGAGAGCAGCAGGGGCCCCTTTGTCCTTTGACGTCATACCCACACCGCTCCTGGAGACAGCCACCCCTTCATGCCAGCCCCAGGAAGGCTTGTAGGTGGGGCGAGCCAGGGTGAGAGTGTAGCCCTGTTCCTCGGCCAGGGCAGATGTTTCACCATTTTTAATGGAGCAATTATGAGTCAGAGGTTTCAGTCTCTACTGGTTCCTCCCGATCCTATAATTACTCTTTGGCTATAGAATCCTATTTTGATCTCTTCTTTTCTTTTCTCTTCTTTCTCTCTCTGTGGTCATGGTCAGGTTTTTCTTTTTTTAAATCCTCCCAAGACACTGCTAATGTTGTCTGTCTCATGCATCCAAGGAATCTGAGATGGACTGAATATTGTCAAGGGAAAAAAAAAGAGACCCCCAAATCCAGAGTGATTTCTTAACCCACCCAAATGGCTTTTTGTTTGTTTGTTTGTTTGTTTGAGACGGAATCTCGCTCTTTAGCCAGGGTGGAAGGCAGTGGCGTGATCTCAGCTCACTGCAACCTCTGCCTCCTGGGTTCAAGCGATTCTCCTGCCTCAGACTCCCAAGTAGCTGTGATTACAGGCACATGCCACCAAGCCCAGCTAATTTTTGTATTTTTAGTAGAGATAGGGTTTCACCATGTTGACCGGGATGGTCTCGAACTCCTGACCTCGTGATCCACCCACCTTGGCCTCCCAAAGTGCTAGGATTACAGGTGTGAGCCACCGTGCTTGGCCAACCCACCCAAATTGTGTACCCTACACCATCCTAGTGCTTGGGAGCCAACACCCACTCACAGGAGGCTAAGGGCAAGTTTAGGTAACTCTTAACACCACGAATTAGTTGCCTGCTGGCAAACTTCAAACTCCAAGCCTGAAATTTCTGGTTGGAGTCACCTCCCAGATGGACTCAGGGATTCATTCACCCCCTCATCCAGTGCTCACGGAGCCTCTGTGAGGTGCAGGCCTGGAGAGGAGCCCTGTGGCCTCAGCAAAGGGCAGGCAGGCTGGTGAGCACCCAACCTCTGGATCGAGGGGACTCAATTATGCGGATAAAGGCCCCTAATCCTCTCAGTGCTCCAAACTCACTCTGCTTCTGAAAGGGATCTTCGTACCCTGGGTTCAGAGAGTAGGAAGCCCGCAGGGACCGAGTATGCATGAAACAAGCCCAAGTCTGTGGGGGCTGTACATGGTCAAGATCACAGATTTCCAGACCAAGCCAGCTCCACCCTAGCTGGGATGCCCACCCTGAGACACCCCTCTCTGCTTTCACTGGAATAGGATGGCCCTGACTTGGCCGGGTGGACTGTTGAATCAGAGCCTCTCAAAACAGGAAAAAGGAAAAGGATCACCAAGCAGGAGTTTCAGTTGTCAAAGACAAAACCCTTACCACGATTAAAGATTACTCCAGGGCCTCGCATATTCACCCTTCCACCAGCAGGGCCCAGTTTACGGATCATTTGAATACTAGCAAAAAAACAAGCCATCTGCTGGAGAGATTGAACAGAGGGAGAAACAGGAGTGTTTGCCCTGCTTCCAGACACCCCTTTCCTGTGGCAGTTCCTGCACCTGGCAAGATCTACTGGGGAATTCCCGGGGTCCCACTAGCTCAGGACGGGTGTGTAGCACTTGCCTAAATAACAATCCCATCAGTGCCCTGTCTGACCTTTTCTCCCCAAATGCCAAAGGCCTCTTGTCTGGATGAACAAATCCCTGGGCGGATTTGTCCAGACTAAAACGTTAATTCTAAAGACTGGGCCCCTTAGGCACTCGCTAAGATTCCAGGCCACACTGTCTCAAGGCCAGAATTGGCTTACTTGGCTATCTTTTTGAAAGATCAAAGTTTAAACCAGATGATCTGTAGTCCCCCACCCCCACCCTGAAACCTGAGCTTAGCTGTAAGCATTGAAAGTAAATGGGGTGTTTGTAGCTCACCCTCCCTGTTCTCCAGGTGAAGGGCCCCGTGTGCCTGATCATTTCATAGCAAAATGCTAGATGGGGCCAGAGGAGGCCCCAGCCTCTGCTGCTGCCCTAATTTTAAAACTGCCTTTTGGGAGTGTAAGTTTCCTCTGTTAAAGGTAGTTATTTCAAGGTAGGCCTCACCATCTCCTCCTCCTGGTGAGAAGCTCTGCCTGGAGGGCTGAGCACTGCCTCCCGCTCTGTGGGCCCCACCTGCCTTGGGTTGAGACCTATCTCTTCCTGGACTCTGTGTGGGGAGTGCAGGCTCTTCCCCTTGGGGAGAACCCAGTTCTTTGACGTATAATCTGAGTGGTTTGGGTTGGTTGGTTGGTTGGTTGGTTGGTTTCCCATGTGTGGGATGGCTCCGGAAGTCTGTTTGAGAACAGAGGCAGGCTCAGATGGGAGCAGCTCCTACCCCGGGCCGCCTATCCCCCTTTACCCTGGGGTTTCTTTTAGCTCCAAGCATCCATTCCAGTCTAACAAATCTGGTGGCAGAGTCTCTTTTTTTTTTTTTTTTGAGACAGAGTCTCACTCTGTTGCCCAGGCTGGAGTACAGTGGCACAATCTCGGCTCACTGCAGCCTCCGCCTCCTGGGCTCAAGCGATTCTCTTGCCTCAGCCTCCTGAGTATCTGGGATTACAGGCGTGTGCCACCACGTCTGGCTAATTTTTCTGTATTATTAGTAGAGACGGCTGGTCTCTACTAATAGTTCAAGACGGCTGGTCTTGAACTCCTGACCTCAAATGATCCACCTGCCTCAGCCCCCCCAAAGTGCTGGGATTACAGGCGTGAGCCCCTGCACCCAGCCCCTCTGGTTCTACTGAGACCTCAGATCTTTCATTTATGGAACAAGGGGGTTGGATTAGATTGTTCGCTCTCAGCCCTCACTTCATGTTAGACTCACTAGGTGGACTTTGTCAAATGTCATTGCCCAGGGCCCACCTTGAGGGAATCTGTCTCATTTTGCCTGTGGTGAAATTCAGGTATTTTTAAAAAGCTCCCAGGTCCCATACATCTATTGTCAATTGATTTTCAACAAGGGTGCAGGACCATTCAATGGGGGAAAGAATAGTGTTTTCAACAAATAGTGCAGGAACAACTATTAATAGATACCCATCTGCAAAGAATGAAGTTGAACCTTTACCTCACACCATATACAAAAATTAACTCCAAACGGATCAGATACCTAAATGTAAGAGCTAAAACTGTAAAACTCTTAGAAGAAAACACAAGTGTAAATCTCATGACCTTGGGTTAGGCAATGGTTATTAGATATGACAGCAGAAACACAACCGAAGAAAAATAGATAAATCAGACTGTTTCAAAACTGGAAACTTTTTGCTTCAAAGGACACTATTAAAGTAAAAGGACAACCCGCAGAATATTTACAAATTGTATATCTGATAAGGGTCTACTGTCCAAAATGTATAAAGGACTCTTAAATTCAACAGTAAAAAGACACACCAGTTAAAAATGGGCAAAGGATTCAAATAGACACTTCTCCAAAGAAGATCTACAAATGGTCAATAAGCACATGAAAAGGTGTTCGATGTCATTACTAATTAGGGCAAATCAAAACCATAACCACTACAAATGGTCAATAAGCACATGAAAAGGTGTTCAATGTCATTACTAATTAGGGCAAATCAAAACCATAACGTGGTTGGGCCTGGTGGCTCATGTCCATAATTCCAACATTTTTGGAGGTAGAAGTGGGAGGATGGCTTGGGGCCACGAATTGGAGACCAGCCTGGGCATCATAGTGAGACCCTGCCTCTACAGAGAATTAAAATAAAAAATTAGGCCGGGTATGGTGGCTCATGCCTGTAATCCTAGCACTTTGGGAGGCCGAGGCGAGTGGATCACCTGAGGTCAGGAGTTTGAGACCAGCCTGGCAAACATGGTGAATGAAACCTTGTCTCTACCAAAAAAAAAAAAAAAAAAAAACCCACAAAAATTAGCTGGACATGGTGGTGGGCGCCTGTTGTCCCAGCTAGTGGGGAGGCTGAGGTGGGAGAATCGCTTGAACCTGGGTGGGAGAGGTTGCATTGAGCCGAGATCACGCCATTGCACTCCAGCCTGGGCAACAGGGTGAGACCCTGTCTCTAAATAATAATAAAAATGAGAAATTGGCCAGGTGTAGTAGCATATTCCTGGGAGGCTGAGGTGGGCAGATTGCTTGAGCCCAGGAGTTCAAGGCTGCAGTGAGCTATGATGACACCACTGTACTCCAGCCTGGGCAACAGAGTAAGACCCCAACCCTAAAACAAAAAAAAACAGAAAACCACAATGAGATACCACTGCACACCCACCATGATGGCTATAATCAGAAAGTCAGATAATAAGTATTGACTAGGATGGGAGAAATCAGAACCCTCACATTGCTGGTCAAAGTGTAATGTGGTGCAGCTTCTTGGGAAAACAGTCTGGCAGTTCCTCAAAATTTAAACATGTTTTGTATTTTTAGTAGAGACGGGGTTTCACCATGTCACCCAGGCTGGTCTTGTCTCAGCCTCCCAAAGTGTTGGAATTACAGGCATGAGCCACCACGCCCAGCCAAGTTCCTCAAATTTTTAAATATAAGAGGTATCATATGACTCAGCAATTTTACTCCTAGGTATATGCCCAAGGCAGTTGAAAACATGTCCACATAAAACTTGTACATGAATATTCACGGTGGTGCTAATATCCAAAAGATAGAAGCAACACAAATAATGCCCATCAGCCAATGAATTGATAAATAAAATGTGGTATATCCATACAATGGAATGTTATTCAGACAGGAACGAAGTACTGGTACATGCTACAACATGGCTGAACCTTGAAAACATGCTAAGGAGAAGCCAAACTCAAAGATCATATACCATATGGTTCCACTTATATGAAATGCCCAGAATAGGTAAATTGCAAGAGACGAAAGAAAGGTAGGTTAGTGGTTGCCAGGGGCTGGGGGCTGGGTAGGAGGGAAGTGGGGTTGGAGAGTAACTGTACCAGTTTTGCGGTGGTAGACATGTTCCTTGTATTTTTGGTTTTTTGTTTTGTTTTGTTGTTTTGAGATAAGGTCTCACTGTCGCCCAGGCTAGAGTGCAGTGGCGCTGTCATAGCTCACTGTAGCCTCGAATTCCCAGGCTTAAGTGTTCCTCCCACCTCAGCCTTCTGAGTAGCTGGGACTACAGGCAAGAGTCACCATACCCAGTTAATTTTTAATTTTTTTTTTCTTTTTCTTTGAGATGGAGTCTCGCTCTGTTGCCCAGGCTGGAGTGCAGTGGCGCGATCTTGGCTCATTGCAACCTTTGCCTCCCGGGTTCAAGCGATTCTCCTGCCTCAGTCTCCTGAGTAGCTGGAACTACAGGCGTGCGCCACCATGCCCGGCTACTTTTTGTATTATTAGTTAGAGACGAGGTTTCACCATGTTGGCCATGAGAGACAGGACTAGCTGGATTTCCTAGGCCGACTAAGAATTGCTAAGCCTAGCTGGGGAAGGTGATCGCACCCACCTTTAAACACCGGGCTTGTAACTCAGCTCACACCTGACCAATCAGGCAGTAAAGAGGGCTCATTAAAATACCAATTAGGTTAAAAGCAGGAGGTAAAGAAATAGTCAAATCATCTATCATCTGAGAGCACAGGAGGAGGGACAATGATTGGGATATAAACCCCAGGCATTTGAGGCGGGAGTGGGCCACCCCCTTTGGTTCCCCTCCCACTGTATGGAAGCTCTGTTTTCACTCTATTAAATCTTGCAACTGCACACTCTTCTGGTCCACGTTTGTTTTGGCTTGAGCTGAGCTTTCGCTCACCATCCTTCACTGCTGTTCACCGCCATCACAGACCCACTGTTGACTTCCACCCCTCCGGATCCAGCAGGGTGTCTGCTGCATTTCTGATCCAGCGAGGCGCCCATTGCTGCTCATTCGGGCTAGAGGCTCGCCATTGTTCCTGTGCGGCTCAGTGCTCGAGTTTGTCCTAATCGAGCTAAACACTAGTCGCTGGGTTCCATGGTTCTCTTCCATGACCCACGGCTTCTAATAGAGCTATAACACTCACTGCATGGCCCAAGGTTCAATTCCTTGGAATCCGTGAGGCCAAGAATGTTAGGTCAGAGAACAAAAGGCTTGCTGCCATCTTGGGAGCAGCCACTACCAACTTGGGAGCTCTAAGAACAAAGACCCACCGGTAACAGCCAGGCTGGTCTTGAACTCCTGACCTCGTGATCTGCCCGCCTTGGCCTCCCAAAGTGCTGGGATTACAGGCGTGAGCCACCTTGCCTAGCCTTGTTCTGGAATTAGTGGTGATTGTTGCACGATCTTGTGAATATACTAAAACTCCCTGAATTTTATGTAAAAGGGTGAATTTTTTGGTATGTTATGTGAATTACATTTCAATTTTTAAAAATTGATTCTCCAAATTATGTACATATTTAAAGAGTACATGAAAGAGAGGGAGAGAAAGAAAAGCTGGATGCGAGATGCCGCAACCTGATTCCACTCACTCCTAGATTTGTTGAGTACCTGCTATGTGAAAGGTACCAGTCCAGGCAGTGGGTTCCCACAGCAAACAGAACCCTCCTCTGGGGAGCTTATGCTGCACTTGGGAGGGAGACTGGTTATGAACAAAGAACATAGTTTTTGATGATGAAAAGTGCAGTGAGTAAAACAATGCAGTGTGAGGCCGGGTGTGTTGGCTCACGCCTGTAATTCCAGCACTTTGGGAGGCCGAGGTGGGCGGATCACCTGAGGTTGGGAGTTCGAGACTAGCCTGACCAACATGGAGAAACTCCGTCTCTACTAAAAATAAAAAATTAGCCAGGCCTGTAATCCCAGCTACTCGGGAGGCTGAGGCCAGAGAATAGCTTGAACTCAGGAGGCAGAAGTTGCGTTGAGCTGAGATCATGCCATTGCACTCCAGCCTGGGCAACAAAAGTGAAACTCCGTCTCAAAAAAAAAAAAACAAAAAAAACAAAAAAAAAAACCCAACAACGCAGAGTGGAGTGATAGCCTAGGGGAGATGACAGAGTCCAGGAAGGCCTCCTGGGTTGCTGACATTTGAGGCAAGTCCTGAGTGATGAGACAAAACCAGCTCTATAAAGAGCTAGACGAAAGTCTTAGACCAGTATTTCTCATGAGGAGGAGACAGCACTCCAAAATCCATCCTTTGGCCTGGCGCGGTGGCTCACGCCTGTAATCCCAGCACTTTGGGAGGCTGAGGCGGGTGGATTACCTGAGATCAGGAGTTCGAGACCAGCCTGGCCAACATGGCAGAAACCCGTCTCTACTGAAAATATAAAAATTAGCCGGGTGTGATGGTGGGTGCCTGTAATGCCAGCTACTCGGGAGGCTGAGGCAGGAGAATCACTTGAACCCGGGAGGTGGAGGCTGCAGTGAGCCGAGATCATGCCACCGCACTCCAACCTGGCGACACAGCGAGACTCTGTCTCAAAACAAACAAACAAACAAAATCCGTCCTTTGCAGCAGCAACACGCACGCTTTCTGGCACCTCAAAGGGGATTGTCCAAGACTGGAACACTGGCTGCAGGGAGGGGGCCGGGTGCAAAGAGCTGGTTTCTGGGTGGACACGCAGGACCTTTGGAATGCTCGCTACCCCACTCAGCAGTATTTATACCTCTTCTCCAACTGCGAAGTCAGAGCTTTTTCATGCAGGCTGAGAAAACTCCGAATAAGGCAACTTCAGGCCAGGACATAAGACGCATTCCATATTTCACTGTAATTGCTTTCAAATTAGGTTATGTCGTCATGTAACAGGCACACACAGTGCACTTGCTTTGCCCCTGGCTGGGGTTGGGTCCTGGACAGGCTGCCCCGTGTGTCGCTGAACTGCCGCAGTGCTAGCCCTGATTGCCTGGGCAGTAGGGCTGTCTGCGTCCCACGTTGCTGCACCCATCTAATTTGTGGCTGTGTTATTGTGACCTGCTCGTTTTCTGTTCTTTCAACCTGCTTCCTGGCTTTTATCTCCTTCAGAATCTGGTGGCAGTGGATCTTCAAAAAGTGCTCAGGTGTGCAGTCTCACAGGCCAGAGGCTCCACGGGCCCCCTTGCCAGGGCGAGCATCTCTGCCTGTGCCGCTGGTAACCCAGATTCCAGAAGGCTTAGCCGTCTGGCCCTGAAAGCGCCTTTATAGTTGGTGATGAAGCCCATGGGCTGGGGAGCCGTTTCTGCTTTCAGGAACTGAAAAGATGCCCCAGTGGGGCTAGGCCTTGCCTGAGGTCTGGCAATAGCCTGCCAGATGGGTGATAAGAAGGCCTACCCAGGTGATAAGCCTACCCAGGAATAAATAGCTGTACCTCCCCTGTGTCCAAGCCCTGGACACCCTTCCCTAGGACCCATGGAAGCAGGAACCATGGGCAGCGTCAGAGGCCACAGCAGGCAAGGTGGAAGTTCAGGAGGTGGGACGGCGCCCTCCCCCTCAAAGCAACTGATGCCCCAGCGGAGCGACAAACCCTACACGGTATTTCAGAGCCAAGGTTTGAAAACTCCCAGGGTGCTAGGGAGCTCCGTCTGGCCTCCGGGTACCTGGGGTTGGGGCTGGCTGTGGCCAGTTGCAGTCAACCCTGAGCCTGGGCAAAATGCATGCAGGCTGGTCCTCCTGGGTGATATCCTGCTAGGCGGGTGGGCAGTGTACACGGCAGAAGAGGGTTGCGGCATGAGGCAGCAAACGTTTTTTTCTAAAATCTTGTCAAGCGTGGGGTCCGTGGAATCCACATGTGAGCATCAGCCTGGTGGGTGGGGAGAGTGAAGCCTGCGATCCAGTCTGGATCATGTGCTACACAGTGCAGAGCCGGCATGCTCACCCCTCCTGAGGGATCGCTCGAGCCTATTTCTAGGCCCAAAGCGACTTTGCAAGAGACTCCCTTTATTCTGGGCTTAGTGGAATTCCAGCTTCCAACAGCCATTTCCCTCCACCCCCTTCAGTTCTGAGAACATGTTTTGTAACAGGAAGGCAGGAAGAAAAGAGAAGGCGAGTTTGTTCAGCTGGGTCAGCCGCATCCCACCAAGGCCCTTTCTTCCCTCCAGCTCACCATCGCTCTGCCCACTGGAACCACTCGGTTGCCCTGTGTCTGCCGAATGTTTGTTTCTTAATCAGCGCCCCAGAGTAGAGAGGGCTTTGCCTCTTCGGGTTGAGGGAGGGAATCATTGATGAATGGCTCATTAAAGCCCACTGCTGCCACATTCCTGGGTGCTTAGGTCACCTCCTGAACAATATCCATCATTCATTCACCTACCGCCCCACATCCTGGCGGCTGGGAGGGGTCCCTGTGACGCAGGAAGGACTTTATGACCAGAGATGCTAGGTCTCCGTCTCCCTCCTGCAGCCCACAGTGACAAAGCAGAAACTGCTCTTGGGGCCCCCTGAAGCCCGCCTTAGCTGGGTCACCATGGGCCTTGGCACACGGAGGGGTGACAGTGGATCCCAACTCAACTGACAAGCTTGCCTTTCTCTGTTCTTCCACCCCCCTTCCCCGCACTCACACCCTGTGCTATTTTAGCAACCAGAGAAGCCTCTTTAATAGGCTGCCCGTGTGCAGGGGCAAGCTCTGAAGCCTCCTCTCTGTGGTTTGGTTCACATGTGTTCTCAAAGACAGATGAGTCCACATCCTTCCTTCCTCCCTAGATAGGTCAAGGGCTGGGTGCAGGCTGCCTTCACAGGAGGGCCAGGGACAGGCTGGGAGGAGCGGGGCCACCTTTTGCGAAGCGGGTGATCTGCTGGGGCGTTGCTCTGCCTGCCTGCCTTGTTCTCTGAGTTTACCTCTAGCTTGGGGACCAAGGGTGGGCTGGGGCCTTCTTTTTTTTTTTTTGAAACCGAGTCTTACTCTGTCTCCCAGGCTGGAGTGCAGTGGCGCGATCTTGGCTCACTGCAACCTCTACCTCCCAGGTTCAAGCGATTCTCCTGTCTCAGCTTCCCGAGTAGCTGGGTTTATAGGAGCCCGCCACCACGCCCAGGTAATTTTTGTATTTTTAGTAGAGACGAGGTTTCACCATGTTGGCCAGGCTGGTCTTGAACTCCTGACCTCAAGTGATCCGCCCGCCTCGGCCTCCCAAAGTGCTGGGATTACAGGTGCGAGCCACTGCGCCCGGCCCTGGCTGGGGGCTTCTTGACCTGACTCTGCTGTCTCTCCCTCACTGGCCAGCACCTCCCATTCTACTCAGACATCGTGGAATGAATGCCCACCCCGTGTTTGTATGTATCATCTGTGTCTGTGTGACATTAAGCAAGTCACTGAACCTCTCCCTGCCTCAGTTTCCTCATCAAATGGAGATATATCGCATGTGATCATGGGGTTGGAGGTTTTAAAGAGTTGCTAATGTGTAAATAGTAAGAACTAGCAATTAGCCGTTATAGCATAATTACCTTTAATATGTCATGCCCCCCGCACCCCCGTGCTGAATGTAATTTTGCGGGGGGGCGGGTTGAGACAGGGTCTGGCTCTGTCACCGAGGCTGGAGTGCACTAACACAATCTCAGCTTACTGCAACCTCTGCCTCTCAGGCACAAGCTGTCTTCCCACCTCAGCCTCTCGAGTAGCTGGGACTACAGGCGCTCAGTACCACGCCTGGCTAATTTTTGTAGTTTTTGTAGAGATGGGGTTTTGCCATGTTGCCTAGGCTGATCTCAAACTCCTGTGCTAAAGCAATCCTCCCGCCTCGGCCTCCTAAAGTGCTGGGATTACATGGTGTGTGCCACCATGCCTGGCTGGCCAGAATGTAAATGATAACTGTTTTGCTTCCTCCTGTGTCCAGTACATAATAGGGCTCCAAGTCAGTATTTGTGAGGCAGGTGCATGCCTCTTAGTTGCGGTCCTGAGGGCATGGCCACTGCCACGTTCTGGACAGTCAGAGTCGCTGCTGCCCCTGGAAGATGACCGCGATCATGAAGCCCAGGAGAGCTCGATGCTTTTTGCCTTTCCCTCCTCCCACAGAGGGCTGGCAGCTCTGGTTCCTCCCAAATGAAATAGAAACCTTGAGTTTGCATTTCTTCTTTGGCGTGCCGGCAGGGCACCTCTGCCTTCCTCTTCCTGCCAGGGGGAGGAAGTTTCTCTCAGGGGCTCTTCACCCTGCTTTATTCCTGGCCATCACACATTGACCCTTGTCCCCTTCGGCTCTTTCCCTGCATGGCAGGGACAGCATGACCGTTTAATGGCTTTGTGAGGCCAGCATGCCAGCCTCACTTCTTTACTCCCTTCCTTCTCGGAGTGGGCTCTGTCCCTTCTGCAGGAGGGCTTTGGCACATGCTCTTCCCAGTATCTGGAAGGTCTCCCTCATTTTTATCTTATTAACTCCTCATCCTTCAGCTCAGAGTTTGAGAATGACTTCTTCAAGGACACCTTTCTGTGTCTGCCTCACCAGTCGCTTGGTGCCCCCCCACCCCGCCACCATGCTGACCGCACTCTTCAGCTCCCATCCCAGGGGAGGTGACACAAACTCGGCCCCAGGAGCCCAGCACCTGGCTTTAAACCCAGCTCTGTAACTTTCTAGGTGTGTGACTGATGGGAGCAAGCCACTTCACCTCTCAGGCCCTCCGTTTCCTCATCTGCAAAATGGAGGCAGTACTAGCACCTCCCTCCAGAGATGATTACGAGGGTGACAGAATTAGTAAGTGACCAAGTGCCTCGAGCAGTGCCCGCCCCTAGTAGACTCTATGGAAGTGTCTGCTGCAGTTATTGCTGTTATTATTACCACTTTTCCTAAGGGCGTTATTTCTGGAGTGGACTGATCGCTTGATTAATGAGATCAGACCTGGAGCCTCATGAGAGTGTCTGCTTTTGCTCACTGTTATGGATTCAGCACAGGGCCTGGCCCTCTGCTGACCCCCAGCATATGCTTGTCCAGAGAATGAATATGTACGGACCCATGGTGGCCTGGGGCATCATGAGGTCGGCTGCCCACATTCTGAGAATTTTGCATGGTGGAGGGCGGCGTGGTGGGCGCATAGGGCCCCCATCTATAGAAACCACCTCTCCACACCATCCACCCCACGCAGCGTAGTCTAAACCGGGTAGGGAGAGGAAGGATGGAAGCAGAGTGTTATTTTTGTAACCAAGTAGAAGAAGCGATGAATTTTTAATGTCCCATTCGAACTCCAGCTCCTACTCACCAGTCTCTCCGCATGGAGAAGTGGCCGTCATGGTCGACCTGTTCCCAAGGGTGGCCTTGTGAGTGCAGGCTCTCCTCACCAGAGCTGAGGGCTTTGTGAACCTCTGATGTCAATAGATGCCCCTCATCTTCCAGGAGGACAAAACAGGGCAAAGCAAGACATGGGGTGAGAACAGGAGTGCATCAGTGGGGTTCCCCAAGCCTGTGTCAGGTCCGGATCTGGGTGGGAGTTCCCTTCTGCGTCATCCAGGCCAGGCGAGTGGGCATCCTCCCTGAGCACCTGTGCTTGGGGCTTTGCCTGTGTCAGTCAGGAAGACAGAGTACACGGAAGAGTTACCATTGCTTTCAGAGCAAACCTTCCTTTGACATGCATTTAACACAGCACGGAGTGATTGACATGTGTCCTTGTGTTTAATCCCTATCTTAACCTCTCGGTTACTGTCCTGTTTATCAGTGAGGAAACTGAGGCTTATTGCTTGCCTGAGGCCTCAGTGGCAGAAGCAAGATGTGAATCCGCACCTGTGTGATGCCCAAGCCAGAGCTCTTGTTTACTACCCAGAGAAGATGAGCACAGGTGGGATGTACGTATGGAGGGCGGGTAGGGCAGCAGCCCCTCTGAGGACAGGTGGCCAGAACCCAAGCGGCGAGGTTTGTTCACAGCCTCCACAGGGTGGGGTGGGGCCATCCGCAGAGGGTCTCCTGCCATCCCATTTTCCCTGCATACCAGTGGGTGGTCTGAGAGCCTTTGCAGAGAAGAGACTGGATCTCAGCACGTGCTTATGTGCGTGTGTACATGCACACACATGCGTGTGATTCATCTGGCTCTTACTTTATGCCAAGGAGCCTGTCACATGCTTTAAATGTATTTTCCCTAGTTTAATTCTTAGAGCACACTGCAGGAGGTAGATTCTGATAAATCCATCTTACAGGGAAGGAAACAGACTTAAGTAGGTAAAGTCACTTGGTTGAAAACATGGAATGAGTAAGCCAAGGGGCAGGTATTCAAACCCAAACCCAGGTCTGTGCCCCTGCAGAGCCTGCAGGAGCAGCCCACACAGGCCAAGGCTGTGAGGGGTGCTGTTTGCACGCGTGCGTGGCCCTCCCTGCAGCCCAGGTGCCTAGGTCTGGGCCTGGCAACACCAGAGCACGGGGCCTTGCCCTCGGGGAACAGCCCTCTTTTGTCCTCAGGCTGTGGGATGTGTCTTGGCTACTTTGCTGCCCAGCAGTGCCTGCTCTCAGGCACATGTGAGAGTAGAGGCCTAGCATCCGTGGCCACTTCCTTCCCAGCCCATTTGCTGCTGCCCTTTGCTCTGCAGGGCTGCTGGGCTCCTGGGCTCCACGCCTGCTTGCTGCCTGCCATCAAGGCTGGCAGTGCTCTGGGGCTGTAAAGGTGCAGGCGCCGTACTTCCCAACCCCTGGAGCTCGCACATGGTAGGAGAGAAAGCTCATGTGCATGCAACATCCAATAAGACTAAAAGTGACTGGGGGTTGCTACGGGAGAGGTGCTGAGGGTGGGCCGGGGACAGAGCAGGCACACTGTGGAGGGGGTGGGCAGGACTCCTGAGACCAGGGCAGGGAGGGAGGAGATGCTGGGAGGCACAGGGCCATCCAGAGAGCTGCCACTTCCTGAGCATTGCCATGCACGCTGCAGGCATGGCCATCTTGAGTCCTCACACTGCCCGT
Organism: Homo sapiens; assembly: GCF_000001405.40. Classification (NCBI taxonomy): domain Eukaryota; kingdom Metazoa; phylum Chordata; class Mammalia; order Primates; family Hominidae; genus Homo; species Homo sapiens. The sequence goes on from NW_014040929.1 coordinate 107,893, forward strand.
GGCCTAGGTGGGGTCTTCATCCCCACGTTGCAGAGGAGGAAATGGAAGTTAGGAAGGTTAGGTGACGTGCCCACATGAGTGGTGTAAGCATGGTTCCCGCCCTGGGCTCTCTGAATTCAGTATTGTATGGGGGAGGCTGGGAAGGTGAGTTAGTACTCTCCGCAGTGAGAACCTGCCTTGGCTCCCCTCCCCTCAAGGAGTTCATAGCCGTGGGAGGGAGGGAGACAAGAACTGTTGGAGACAAGAACTGTTAGAGACCAGAGAGCAAGGGCGTGATGTGGTCTGCAGGGAGGAGGCTGTCTGAGGCAGAACCGGGTCAGGGAGGCCATGGTGCGGGTACCCTCCAGGCACGGCATTTGGCCTGACTTTTGAGGGGTGCCCAGGGTTGGCTACATGGCGGGGCGGAGGTATCTTTAGTGGGGGAACAGCGTTGTGCCACCAGGAGGGGTCTCTGTCTCCCAGGTAGAGGAATTCTCCATGGTGAGAGGTGGTGGTGGGGGATGGTCTAGCTGTCCACTCTTGCCCCCTTTCGGATTTGGAAGGAAGCCCCATGCTGGGTCCACACTGGTATGGCGTATTAATTAGGCAGCTGCTTTGTCTGGGAGGGGGCTTTGTGTCGAGTCTCCCTGAATGAGCAGGGCTGGCGACAGTTGTCAAAACACATGGTGCTTGGTCAGAGCCCCCGTAGAAGCCCCTTGTCCTCCGCATGGCCTCCGCCTGCACCCGGGGCGTGGAATGTGCTCTTGTGTGTCCCTGGCTGTCTGCTTGCTTCTACACTGGCCCCTGCAGATGGAGGGGGTGGGGTACAGGGGTTCCTATAAGAAGCAGACACTTGGGGTTTTTCCCAGGTCCTGTTGCAGGAGGGTGCGTGGGCTGGTTTCCCTGAAGGCGCCTGGGCGTGTTGGTGTTAACTGATCTGAGATCTTCTGTGGCCCTGATGTCTATGAGCATGCCCCAGCTTGCAGGGGGCTGAGTAGCCGGGCACCACCAGGAGGCTGCGTGCCCTGTGCTTGGGTGTACCCATGCCCTGTCAGCATCGTTGGTCTGTTAGGGTCAGGGACTTCGGCTTCTTGTTTAGTACCCTCCATCCCTTCCAGTTGATCATCAGAAACATTCTCCTTAGATGCGGCTGCCTGACCCCGGTGAGGGGGCCTGCCTCCCACTTGCCTTCCAGCCTCCTCTAAGCTGCACTGAGTCTTAAAAATAGGAAGGATAGGGCTGGGTGTGGTGGCTCACGCCTGTAATCCCAGCAGTTTGGGAGACCGAGGCGGGTAGATCACTTGAGGCCAGGAGTTCAAGACCAGCCTGGCCAACATGGTAAAACCCCATCTCTACTAAAAAGACAAAAATTAGATGGGCATGTTGGCATACACCCGTAGTCCCAGCTACTCAGGAGGCTGAGGCATGAGAATCGCTTGAACCCAGGAGGTAGAGATTGCAGTGAGCTGAGATTGCGCCACAGCACTCCAGCCTGGGTGACAGAGCGAGACTCCTTCTCAAAAAAAAAAAAAGGAAAAAAAAGAATAGGAAGGATAGGGCATGGCATGTTCTCCAGGAGACAGAGGGACGGGGGCATCTTGCTTGCAGGAAGCCAGGCGACACAGGCGTGTGTGCAGGGCTCAGAGGGTCTGTGTTCCTGGCCTTTCCTGGGAGGGCTTGCTCTTGGGCTGCCCAAAGCTCAAAGAGAGACTCGAGGAAATCCTGCATTTATGGGAGCTTTTCTTTTCCTGCCACTTTCCTGTTCTGGGTTGTATCTGTGCACGTGATTGGAACGTAGCAGCCTGAGCTCCTGCCTGAGGAGAGCAGCCACGGGTCACGGAAGCCAGGGTCCAGCTGGGGCCTTTGGGTCTAGCTGGCAGATGAAGGGCTGGCCTTCATCAAGAAAACAAGCCCCATGAGGGCAGGAGCCCGACCTGTTCATTCCACACCACCGAGCCTGGTGCTCAGTCATGTTTGTGTGACTGAGTGAGCCGGCGGCGGGCTGAGGCGCTTTTGTCTGGTGTGCGTACTGGTCTCCCTTGAGGCAGCTTGGGGGTGTGGAAAAAGCACATGTTGCCAAAATTGACAGACCTGGGTTCAAATCCAAGCTCTGCCACTTACCGCCTGGATGGTCTTGTGATGGGTCATTAACCACCCCGAGCCTCAGTTTCCTCACATCTGCCTCCCGGGGTCACTGTAAGGATCAGAAACAATGTGTGTATCGGCCATGTACGGTGTGTGTCGGCGAGTGCTCCGTGGCAGCTGCGGTTCTCCTGAGGTCAGAGCTGCGGCCCTGCAGGTGTGTGGAGAGAGCCCCGACAGCCAGGCTGACTCTGCGCACTGTCCTTTGTTCTGCTTCCCCAGACCTTCACGGCATGGTGCAACTCCCACCTGCGGAAGGCAGGCACACAGATCGAGAACATTGATGAGGACTTCCGAGACGGGCTCAAGCTCATGCTGCTCCTGGAGGTCATATCAGGTGAGACTCCCAGCCACGCAGTGCGGCCGAGCCCTGGCACAGGTGCTCTGCCACAGCGGTCCCCAGAGACCCTGCCCACCCAGCTGTCCCATTGCTCCTGGGGAGGAGAGGGCACCCCTTAATAGCTGCACGGTGGTCTGATGGGTGGGGCCAGAGTGGCCTGGTGGGCCAGCAGAGGAACCTGCTTTTGGAGAACAGAGGAGACTCTAAAGCCTCTCTCCCTCTCGCCCTCTCTCCCTTTCTCTCTCTCTGTCTCGCCCCCTCTTTTCTCTTTGTGCACTTCTCAGGGGAGCGGTTACCTAAGCCGGAGCGGGGGAAGATGAGAGTGCACAAAATCAACAATGTGAACAAAGCGCTGGACTTTATTGCCAGCAAAGGCGTCAAGCTGGTCTCCATCGGGGCAGAAGGTGAGCTGGAGGTGGGGCAGCGAGGGTCCTGCTCGGTTTCTGACCTTTAGGCTCTGAAGCACAACATCTGCATCCTGAAGAGAAGTTTTGTTGGTGGCAGGGCGCTTGGGGCACTCAGAGCCCCAGTACATACTCAGCAGTGATCACAACAACTGCTCTTGATATGATGCTGGGCCCACAAGCTCCCCCAAACCCTTGGAAAAATCCGGTGGGCGCAGTCCAAATCTAGGAAGTGCAACCCACCCAACCACGGGGGCGACGGCTTCTGCAGGGGGAGGAATGGTTTTGACTCGGACTCAGGTCGCCCTCACTGGTTCTCCTTGTGCCAGGCTCAGCAGACAGTGACAAACATGTGCCATGGCCTCTCTCTGTACCAGGAACACCTTTCTCATTATGCCCTGCCCGGTATCAGAGAAGGACTGGAGGCCCCATGTCAGGCATTGGGACAGGGAGTGCACGGCCAAAGGTCAGTGCCTAGACTTTGCCCTGTGTGCATGGGCTTGGAGAATTTTGCCTCTGACCACCCCAGGATCCTCCTGGGCCCCACGTAGATAACCAGGACCACAGTCCACTACCTGCAGGCCCTCACTAGAGCAGCAGGCTCTCAGCAGGGGCCCCTGGGTTGAGCTCCCAGGCGCTTTTAGAGACAGGCGAGGCCTGATGGAGCCCCAGCAGCATGAGCTCGCAGTCCACTCATTAGTCAGAGTAAGATTTCTTCACCCTGACATCCATGTTGTCCCAGCTTCTAGAAAAACAAAGTAAACTAATTGCCGTTAATGACAGGGCTCTGAGAGTTTGGCCAAGACTCCGGGCCAGAATGTGTGTGCTGAGTTCCAAGGCTCTGCCCCGGCCCAGGACCTCTGCGATGAGGGGTGCCAAGCCTTGCATGCCACAGTCGAGGTGGTTGGTGTTTGTTTAAAAAAATCACAACCCAAAAATTCAGTCAGGCCCTGAGATTTTCTGTCCTTGCATGGGTCTTTCCTCCAGGCTCTGTTCCAGCCTTCTGCTTCTCACAGCTGCATTTATTTTGCTCAAATGCTAGTCTGTAAATACAGAAGGGGTTAGAGGAGAGACCCATGTCAGTCATCAGTTTTCATTTGGAGAAAAACTTGGTCTAAAAATGTTCTCTGTTCATGCCCAAATTGGTTCACTCCCAATCCCTGTGACTGTGGGGCCTTGGAACAAAGCCTAATGGAGGCGTTCCTGGGGCTCAAGGCACCTGAGAACCCCGCCCCACCCTGTCCCCCTGTCCTTCCACATGATTGGGCATTCGCGGGAGCATTGGCTTCCCGTGGGGGTGATGAGAGGGGCCGGAGGCACAGCTGCAGGTCAGAGAAGCAGCTGGTGGATGTGTCATGAGAAACGCCATCCTCCTCTCCTCACCGGAACTCCATAAGCCCTCCGTTACCAGCTGCACCTGTACTTGCTGAGCCGGGGAGCTGCGGCCTTGCCCAGCTCTGCAGGCCCGGCCCTCAGGAGGTGCACAGAATAGATTTCCTGAGGCTCGAGCTGCCTCGCTGCACTAAGGGGCAGGTGGTGCTGCTCAGTTTCTGGGTCTGGGGCTCTGAACCCTAGGACAGGGTGGACACTGGGTCCCTCCCCTGTCTCTGGGCAGCAGAATGAGCATATTTCCTCCTCTCAAAACCCGAAAGCTGTGGCTCATGGACACCCCCTTCCTCTGGGTGTGTCCCCGGGGGAAGGTGAGCCCCATCTTCTCTGTGACCTCTCCACCTGCTTCCAAGCAAGCCTGCCCTGGAGTATTCTGCTCAGAGGTCAGTGAGCAGGGTCTCCTGTGGTGTCCTGGGCCTCCAGCTCTGCAGTTAGCTTTGGAACTCACCCCTGTGCCCAGCCCTTCCCCGAGAGTGCTTGCAGCAGTGGCGCCCCTCTGTCTTCTTTGGAAGCCACTCCATCATGCCCCTTGCATATGGCGTGTTGACAAGTTGGGAGGACTGCCCTAGGCACGGCTGGCTGATGGACTCTGGGATGAGGCACTGCCTTCTCTCACCCAGCCGCAGACACACAGCTGTCCTGGGCCTTGCAGAGATGATTTTTCTCTTAAGTTACTGAGGCTGAAGAAGGTGTGGTCCAAGCCCTTCTTTTGAGAAGTTTCAGCAATTTTTTTTTTTTTTTTTTTGAGATGGAATCTCACTCTTGTCACCTAGGCTGGAGTGCAATGGTGCAATCTCAGCTCACTGCAACCTCTGCCTCCCGGGCTCAAGCAATTCTCCTGCCTCAGCCTCCAGAGTAGCTGGGATTACAAGCACCCGCCACCACGCCAGGCTAATTTTGTGTTTTTAGTAGAGACGGGGCTTCACCATCTTGGCCGGGCTGGTCTCGAACTCCTGACCTCAGGCGATCCACACCTGCCTCAGCCTCCCAAATTGCTGGGACTAAACAGGCGTGAGCCACCACAGCCGGCCGCAAATGTTTGTTTTTAGGTTAGTTCAGAAAGCGTGCAGTCTGGCCTCAGGCCCGTGCTCTCCCCTTCCTGACAACACAGCAGCCATGCTTGTTCCTCACTGGCCTTCCAGGCACTGGATCCAGTGGTGGTCAGAGCAGCCCCGCCCTCACGAGGGCAGGCAGACAGTGAACAAGTAAACAGCCCGACCAACATGTGATTTCACTAGTGATGCCTTGGGGCAGCACAGGGGCCAGGGAGAGGAACTGGGTGGCGGGTTGGGGAGCTCCTTGGGACGGGCAGTCAGGGAAGCCACCACGAGAGGTGACACAAGCAGAAGCTTACACGATGAGAAGGACCAGCCAGTTGAGGGTCGCAGGCTAGGGGCGTGCTTTGTGAGTGGACAGAGCGTATCAAAGCAAGAAAGAGCCTGGCTTGCCCAGAGGATGCAGCTAGAGAATTCCAGCAGGATGGCAGGGCCTGGGCCTTCAGGGCAAGCCCTTTCCCTGTGGGCCAGGCATGGTGGCTCACACCTGCAATCCCAGCACTTTGGGAGGCCAAGGCAGGAAGATCACTTGAGCAGGAGTTTGAGACCAGCTTGGGTAACATAATAAGACCCAGCCTCTACAAAAAGTTTAAAAACTAGCAAGATGTTGTGGCATGCGTCTGTGGTCCCAGCTACTCGGGAGACTGAGGCAGAAGGATTGCTTGAGCCCAGGCAGTCAAGGCTGCAGTGAGCTATGACTACACCATTGCACTCCAGCCAGCCAGACCCTGTCTCAAAAGAAGGAAACCAACCATGCTCGCTGCTGTGTCGATGTGGATTATGGGCGGGAAGGGTACATAGGAGGCAGCCGCATTGAGCTCTGGAGATGACAGTGGCTTGGTGGAGAGTGTCGGCAGTAGGATTGGAAGGAAGTGGACAGATTCACAATAAACAATAATGTAGTGCACATTTGCTGACTGCGAGATGAAAAAGACCACCTTTGCCCTGAGAGTGGGGGCCCGGGGTGCCCCCCTGTAGTCAGGAGGTACGCAGATTACGGCAGAAATGTACAGAGCACTGAGAGTTGAGAGAGGTGTGAACAGAGGCCACACGCCTGGGACCAGCCTCTTGGAGGAGCGGTTTTTTGAGTTGGGTCAGGAGAAGGAGCTGGCTGCGGGGCCAGGGACCCTTGTGGCCAGAAGCCTGCAGGCGCTCAGCAGCAGGAGGCTCTGGGACAGTGCTGCCTAGAGACTGTTCCCTGCATTTTCTCCTGAGGGAGGTGGAGGAGGACAGGCCTGGGAGATGCAACCAGGGGGTGGTTTGGAGCCTTTCTCTAGATGGGGCTGGAAGGCCACCTTCAGGTTGGGCGGAGGAGCCTCACTCTGGTTTTAACGACCTTCTGCCCTCTGCCCCCTTCCCTGTGTGCAGAGATTGTGGACGGCAACGCAAAGATGACCCTGGGAATGATCTGGACCATCATCCTTAGGTTCGCCATCCAGGACATCTCCGTGGAAGGTGACAGCCACCTGTACTGCCCCCGCTTCCCACCTGAGTCAGGGCGGGTTAGAGGAGAGCTGAAGTGTGATCTTCATGCTTCAAGCCTCTTCCTGTTTCCTTGGGGTCACTCACAGGGCCTGGCCCTTGCAGGGGTAGTCAGTGGGTGGCAGGTGAAGGGAGGCTCCTCCCAGCTGCCTGCCTCTTGGCTCCAGTGCCTTCCGAGTGCCTTTGCTCTCACAGCCTCATCTCAGTGGACCCTCACGCCACCCTCATGAGATGGGCTAGGATGGCTGGGCCCGTTTTACAGTCCAGGAACCCAAGTCCCAGAACAGACTAGTGAGAGAGTTGGGCCTGGGCCTGGTTCTCTGTCTGCTTGACATCCCCATCCTTGAAACTTGGCCCCCATGGACCCGTTATGAGCTCAGGCCGTCCAGGAATGGACAATTTCGCTTCCCTGCAAGCACCTGTGTGCACACAGGATGGGCAGAGCCACCTGGGCTAGCGTGCAGGGGCTCCCAGGTGCCAGGTCGCAGTGATGACTGGGAGAGATGTGCTTCCTGCCCTCGAAGGGCTCCCGGTCTGTGAGGACAGCCGAGCTATCCACGGGGAACAGAAGGGCCCCCTAGGCCTCTCTACAGCTGGTATTTCACCTTGTTCAAAAGAGGCCAAGGCCGGTATCAAGGGCCTGTCTGCAGTGTGTTCTGGTGGTGAAAGGCACAGGCTTGGTGGCCAGGCACATGGCACAGATTCAGGCCCTGACACCACCACCTCCTGGGGCAGCCCTGGTCAAGCGACTCTCCTCGGGGCCGTGAGGATTAAGCAGGGCCGTGTGTCCTGGCAGTTGGGCCTGGCAGCATCCGTCTGCATCCGGAATGGGAGTGGCTGTCCCGCTGCTATCACTGCTGCTGTTGTTAGGACAGATATCCTCTCCCCTTGGGTTTCGTTTGACCCCAGGCCTGAGCCGAAAGTCCCATCCAACTTGGGCTGAGTTCTGAGGGTTTATTTTTGAGCCAGTGCTCACTGTCTTTGTGTGTTTTGCAGAGACCTCGGCCAAGGAAGGGCTCCTTCTCTGGTGCCAGAGAAAGACAGCCCCGTATAAGAACGTCAATGTGCAGAACTTCCACATCAGGTAAGCGCCAGTCCTGGTCATCCTCTCCTTTCCTCTAGGAACCTGAGATCCTTCCTCCCACCTGCCCTGTTTGCTGTGTTTTTGTCGTGGTCTGTGAGATGCCAGCCCTCAGTCAGCCCCTCCCTGGCCACGGGCCCTACAAGCCCATGGGAAGGTCACCTGGTCCTCTCTGAGGAAGAGGAGGCAGTTTCCCAGCCATCCTGGCTGAAGGCAGTAAGGTCAGCCCTCTCGCCGGCCTAATAGAACGTTCTTCGTCCCCAGGCAAGGTGACTCTCAGAAGCAACAATAAAGCTTTTCATTTTTGAGACAGGGTCTTGTGCTGTCACCCAGACTGGAGGGCAGTGGTGTGATCACTCATCCCTGCTGCCTTGGCCTAGGCTCAAGTGATCCTCCTGTCTCAGCCTCCCAAGTAGCTGGGACTGCAGGTGCATGCAGCCACACCTGGCTAATTTTTAATTTTTATTTTTAGTAGGAACAGGGTCTCCCTATGTTGCCCAGGCTGGACTTGAACTCCTGAGCTCAAGCAGTCCTCCTACCCCGGCCTCCCAAAGTGCTGGGACTACAGATGTGAGCCACTGCCTGCCTCTGGCCTCTTCCTTTATTTTGACAGCTCAGGAGTGAATTGTTTTTAGAATTGCTAGTAAATTTAGTGTTGGGGAAAAATGTACTCTGTGGCTGCTAAGATGAACAAGCCTCAGCTCCACCATGAACCTGCTTCCCTCAGGGTGAGCGGGAGATGAGACATGTCCACCATCCCCGTAGCTGAGGCGAGCATGGGCACTGCCGCATGAGGTCCAGGGGGCGGCAAGAGGCAGGCCTGCCTGGTGGTTGGGAGCACTGGCTCTGGGGGCGGTCCTGAGGTCAGATCCGGTTTGCCTTGTGGCTCCACCCTCTGAGTCTCCTGGATGGCCCGCACAGGAATGAAGAGCAGGGCCTCATGGGGTTTGCAGCGGCCTCAGGCTCTCTGGGACCCTTGCTGGGTACAGAGGGCTTTTCCCATCGTGCTCACCCTGATAGCATGTGGTCCCTCCCTTGGTCACTCTTCTCTGTGTGTCTTCTTTTTTTTCCTGCCACTAACTGACTGAATCTTTCTATAGTTTCCATTCATTTTCTTCAACTAGTAAGTATCTAGCATGCCCGCTGCATGCCGTTAGTGGAGATACAGTGGCACCCAAACAAAGTTCCCATTTGTGGGAAGTTTACACCACAGCGCGGGGACCAGCTGTTAGCACAGCGGCCAGTAATCCTGCAGCATAACTTCAGTGAGAAGTGCTGCACAAAGACAGGGAAGTCAGATGAAGAAAGTTCCCTGGGTGGCCTTTCTGAGGAGGTGACATCGAGCTTGACCTCAGAGGGAACCAACCCTTAGAGGGTCTCAGGGAGGAGAATGTGACCCATATAGCTTGTAACTGACCAACTTGTGGCCTTGGGGAAGGTCTCTTTCCTCCAGAGACCAGCATGCCAAGTGAAATCCTGGCATTTAGCCAGCCCACGGACTGGCCTTCCTGTAAGTCAGGTCCGCCAGGGTGTGGAGGCCACACAGCACAAACACCAGCATCCTGCAGTGGCCACCTCCCCCGAAGCGGCCTGTCTGGTTCAGGGCGGCCTCCCATGGAAGGTGCTAGCAGTTATAAAGCAGTTGTCAGGAGTCAGGCACTGATCCAAGCATTTACTCATTTAATCCGCACAACAGCCCTATGTAGCAGGTATGTCACTATCCCCATCATACAGATGTGGAAACCGAGATAGCCTGGCTTACCCGAGGTCACACTGTCAGTAGGCAGAAGAGTCAGGATTTGATCACAGACTGCCTGGCCCCAGAGGTCATGCTTGCAGCCTCTCTGCCACACTGTCTCCATGCAGTGCCTGGCACAGGCCAGACTGCAGTGAATGGGAATTAGTCACTGCTGTGGGTGCACAGGGCCATACGGCACTCTCATGACAGTGAGCGGGCCCTCCTATAACCTTTGCCTTTCCTTCCCCAGCTGGAAGGATGGTCTTGCCTTCAATGCCCTGATCCACCGGCACAGACCAGAGCTGATTGAGTATGACAAGCTGAGGAAGGTGAGTGTCTCCAGCTCCCCTTGATGGCCCACAGACGTGCCCTGTCTGACCCCCTAACTCCGGGTCACCATCCCCATGCCCTTCCATCGCCAGCCTCCAGATCTGGGTTCTGCACGCAGATGGGCAGCCTGGGAGAGCCTTGTGCAGGCTCTCCGCAACCCCTGGCTCGGTGGCTGACTCTCACCTCCCTTATTCCCCTCGTGGACTGTCCAGTCTCCCTCCATGGCACTGCAACCAACCCGGGGTTATTTAAGGGCCTGGCCAGCCATGCTTTATAACTCCCCTTCCTCAATCTTCTGGATTCTAGAACCTCCTCTGCCCAAAGGGGCAGAGGGCAAGGAATTCCAAACCATCACCACAAGCCCATGTTGCCCATGCAGGGTCCTGCTGTCATTTGCCTGTACAAAGCCTGTATGGATCCAGGCCCTGGCCACCAGAAGCTGCCAGCCTCGTGGGGGAAGGCAGGACAAAAATTGTGTCCAAAGCAAAGCACCACACCAGGCCGTGTACATGTGCTCAGGCTGAATGGGGTGGCAGGGCATGGGGTCAGATCAGTGCTGCGGAGGAGGCTAGTGTACCCCGAGCGAGCAGGAGCCAGGAAAGGTCCCGGAAGAAGAGGCAGCTTAGAGCCAGAGGAGGGCTTCCTGGGGGAGGCACCAGATGGCACCCAGCCCGTTCCAGCCACAGTGAGCAAGAGAGCTGGGCCCCGGCCAGGGAGAGTTGGAGTGCAGTGGGCTTTAGTCCTGTAAGCAGTGGGGAGCCTGTGAGGGGGCTGGGGGACACTTTAGGGTGGTTGGGACCTGGGACCTCTCGGTTTGCTCCCCTTACCCAGTCCCCAGTGCTCTCTCAGGCCTGGCCCACATCTTCCAGTCAATGTGAAAACCAGGTTTTAGGGCAAGGGGCTTAAGCTAGGGTCTGTGGGTGGCTGGAAATTGTATGAAAAGAGTACACCTGCATTTTTCTGGAGAAAAAGCCCTGGTTTGCCCCACAAAGATTTCACGAGGCACTCCTGTGAGTGGGAATTGAATTTATCCAGGCGGTGCCCTCCCGCTCACACATCACACGTGGCTGAGAACTGCCTGAAGAAACCCCCAACCCTCGCCCTCCCGGGTCTCTCCCTCTGGGCCAGCCCTGCCTCCCTCCTGCTCCTGCACCCTGCCCTGACGGAGTTCTTGTTGTCCCCACTTGCCTCCTTCTAGGACGACCCTGTCACCAACCTGAACAATGCCTTCGAAGTGGCTGAGAAATACCTCGACATCCCCAAGATGCTGGATGCAGAGGGTAAGTCATCTCTTCTGTTCAGCCACCACTGTGCTTCCTGATGGCCTTTTCTGTCCAGGGCTGGCCTCGGGCAAGGGGCTGTGGGCACATCAGAGCTTTGGGTCACCTTGGGGAGCTGGCAGAGCCAGCAAGAAGGGCTGAATGATTCTGGGTGAACTGGGGACAGCCATGTCGCCCTGGGAGACAGAGCAAGGGTAGCCTGGGCTGGCCAGATGCCTTCAGGGATGAAGAAGCGTATGGGGAGGGGGAGCTGAAGGATCAACTCTCCTGAGGGTGCATCTCCTCAGGGCCCAGGAAGGGCAAGGTGGCTGAGGAGGGGTGCTTCAGGCTTCCTGCGAGCAACCCTGGCCTCTCCCTCCCTACCTGCAGCAGGCATGGAGTATGGAGCCCGACAAAGTGGAGTGTTTTGTTTTTTCCTTTTCCGGCTTTGCTCCATTTCCCAGCCATGCACTGCCCCATTTCCTAGCCATGCACTGCCCCAGCTGGGACCTGTGTCTCTGGCCTCTGGTGGCCCTTGGAGTTGACTGTCCTGCTGCTCCTTGAGGCCATTCTCAGAGAGAGGAAGTGGCCTCATTTTAATCCGCTTCCCACAGCCTTGTCCTTTCCAGACCCATGGGAGAGGGAGGGGCTGAGGGTGTGGCTGAGCCCACCCAAGTCACGCGTCACTCTGCAGGTCCCTCTCCCCCAAGGCCGTGGCCTTGGGAGCCCGTGGATCCCAGTGAGTGACGCCTCCACCCCCCGCCCTACTCGGGCAGTTTAACCCTTGTTGTTCACTTGCAGACATCGTGAACACGGCCCGGCCCGACGAGAAGGCCATAATGACCTATGTGTCCAGCTTCTACCATGCCTTTTCAGGAGCGCAGAAGGTACCGAGCAGGGCCAGGCAGGCCCTCCTCGCCGCCACCGCGCAATGCCGCCGCTGCCTCTCGCCTCCCGTGCTCACCTCATTTCTCTTGCAGACGGCAGTGGCCTCTCTCCAACTGGAAGCCACCCCCAGCTCCCTGGCGTTGCTGCCCCCTCAGCCTTAGCTCACACACCTATTGGGTACCTCATCTGTGCCAGGCTTTTCCAGGCATTGAGGATGCCCTGGTGACTGAGTCAGACAAGGTCCCTGTTCTCAGGGCACTTCCATGCTAGTGGGAGAAACATACAGCAGGCCTGTCACAGGAGTGGAATAGAGAAAATGGGGCCAGATGGGGGACAGAGATGGCTGGGGTGACCTTCAGCTGGTGCTGTCAATGTGGAGGGGTGAAGTGAGCAGGTACTTGCAGCAGGAGCTGCTAGATGCAGGCTGGGGCACAGGTGTTCCAGGCAGAGGGTGAAGCACTACGAAGGCCCTGAGACAGGAAGAAGCTTGGCGTATTCAGGGACCAGCTAGAGAGGAGTGAGTGACACGCAGTGATGGGTCAGGCCCAACAAGACCCTTGTGGTGTGGGATAAGAAATTCATGTTCCACTCTGAGGGCCATGGGAGCCCCTTAGGGTCTTACTCCGTGGTGGGAGCTGCTCACTCACATTTTCAGACAGATCATTTAGCAACTGACTCCTCCAACCCAAAACAAAGCTGCCTTTATAGGGCCCACAGCTAGTCTGTCTCCAGCCCAGGCCGGTTAGAAAAGGAATGCACCCTATTCGGACTCCACAAAACCCCGCAAGGCATGTCCACGCAGGCCTGGGGCTGGCTTCCAGTCCAGAGCAAGTGCTCTTCCTCCTGCATGAGCCTCAGGCCGGCCCGGCCGCCCTCCCTGCGTCTTTCACTCTCTCCTGCCTCTCTCTCTCTTTCTCTCTCTCTCTGTGCAGATATTGTGGGCACTCTGAGGCCAGATGAGAAGGCCATCATGACTTACGTGTCCTGCTTCTACCACGCTTTCTCGGGGGCTCAGAAGGTGAGCTGGGCCAGGCACACCTCGCTGCTGGGGCTGCAGACCTGCCTTCACCACCGCCCTTGCATCACCGCTGGCCATCTGTGGTTGGAGCCCTGGCCAGGCCGTGGGCCGCCACACCACACAGACTGACCCTGCCGGCCTCTGACTCGGAAGGTCCCCTGGGGCAGGTTTCCCGCCTGGCCGGTGCTGGGCCTGTGCTGAGGAGTCACAGACCTCTGTTTGAACACAGCCCACCCTGGGAGGTGGGTGGTGGCATCCTAGGCTCTCAGGCGGGGAAACTGAAGCCCTGCATTACAGTCAATGGCAGAGCTGGGATTTGACTGCCCGGCGTTCCCACTCGCCCTGTCCATCATCTGCACCAGGGCTGCCTGCCTGCCCCTGCCAAGCCCTTCGTGGGGAGCACTGGGCTTTACCCGTTTTGCAGCTCCTTCCTGCCAGGAAAGGCTCAGCATGTGCAGCCCAACCTGCACTCACGGTCCCAGCCCTCCAGAGGCCAGGCAGAGCCCACAGAGCTTGCGTGGCAGTGGCCGCCCTCCTGGGCCCAGCTGACCTCATGCTGCCTCACAGCTCCTGCCGGGCCCTCAGCGTTCACGCAGAGGCCCAAGCACTGCTCCCCCCGCTTGCCTTGTGGTCTCTGAAGTATCTCAGGCAGCATTCCCGATGCCTGCTTTGAAGTGTCAGCAGTTGGCACAGGTTCAGAGGAGGAGGCAGAATCGATTCTTGTTTACTGAACATGTACTACACGCTAGGCACCCTCCAAGGCCTTCACATGCACAGGCTTCCAGAGGGTCCCTGTGCACACCCCCAGGAGGGCTAGGCGCAGTTAGCCCCATTTGAGAGAGGAGGAATTGAAGTTTAGGGAAACAGCTATTCCTAAAACTAGAAGGGGGGGGCCGTACCTTCTGTGGACCCCTGCTTTGAGCCTCCCAACTAGCAGGTGCATTACCTACCGTCAGTCTGGCCTGGCCCCACTCTGCCACCTCTTGGTACTGTGACCTTGGGTGGGTCACTTGACCTCAGCTTCCCCACCTGTGAAATGGGCATCGCTGTAGTTCGGTCTCACAGGATTGTTCTGGGCGTGAAACGAGCTCCTGCAGGCAAAGGGCTTAGCACAGTGCCTGGCACGGCAGCTGCCATTTAGGCAGCTGCCAGGGAGCCACAGTGGTGGGGAGTGTGGTTCTTCCCAGCCTCGGGCCAGAAAGGCCTCTTCACCTCCTCAGCATGCGATTGGAGCTTGTGTTTGGAGTGTTCTGCTAGAGGGCACGGGCCAGGAGGGTGGAGGGAGGACCCCTGACCCACACTCCCGCGGGAGGGTGGGCAGGGACCAGCAGCAATGGACGATTCGTCACCACAGACCCCAACTAACAGCATGTTTGCCATTGGACTCACCCCTACGGGCCCCGAACCAGCCCCCTGCCCACCACATGGCCTCACCAGATTGCTTTTCTTTCTACCCACACTGCTCCCCTGTGCTTAGGGCTGAACTCCAGTCTGGAGGCTCTGAGGGATTTTGGGGGAGCAGGGACTGGCAGGCAAGCCCAGGACAGTATGGGTGGGTGCTGAGGCACTGGGCCTGGAGGCTTGTCACTGGCCCCTCTCTGAGGGGGTAGTGGAGGCCCGGCTGCAGGGCGCTGGCTGGTCAGAAAGGAAAGTGCTGGGTCCCTGTGTGCTCCTCAGGACAGCCCCGTGGTGCTGCTCCTGCTGCCTCGTTTCCCCAGAGACCCAGTCCAAGCTCTTGCAAGAGTGCTCTCTGGGGTTCATGTTTTATAAACGCAGAGTGAACCCCAGGTCTAGCGCCAGTGTGCCCATTCTGTCCTGAGATCATTTATTTCTAGTCACCGAAGCGTTCCCGCCTCGTTCCTTTATTCACTCACTCATTCAGCAACCCTGAACACCGCCAGTGCACTGAGCCCCAAGCTGGATGCGGGAACTCAGCGGTGAAACATGATTCCCTTGCCTTGCGGCAGCCCCGTGCTCACAGAGAGGACTTGAGTTTCGGGTGCCAGTTGTCTCTGCCAAGTTAGGAGTCAGGGACTGACCTCTGTGACCCCCACAAGCTGCAGCCCTGGCTGTGTTTTCCACACTGGCCTGGGGCCCATGTTCATTGGCTGAGGAACCTCTTGGACCTCATCTCTGAGGAGCACCGCCTGGGGCCCTGGGTGTGTGTCCCGCAGCATGGCGCGGGGTGTGCACGTGCGTGTGTGCGCTCACACGAGCACCGGCTGCCGCCTCCCCGCCTGTCTCCAGGTGCCATGTGTGGAGGGGAGAGGCTGGGCGTCGCTGCCTGCAGCACTGGCTCTGAGCCGTTGGCCAAGCCTCTCCATTTTCCTTCCCCATCACTCTGTAGACCCTCCTCACTCTTTCTGTTCCTGTTCTGTTGCCGTTTCAACTCCTCCTCTTGGACCCTTTCTGTGCTTCCTGAAAGGTACCTGGTCTCTCTCTCCCCGTGTGCACCCCCTGCCTCCTCTACACTGTTCACTGCCCCCTAGCAGGACAGGGCAGGACGCTCTCCTGTAGTTCAGGCCCAGGGACTATGTCCACCACTCTCACCCTCCAAAGCCCCAGCACTTTTCTGCCCCACGGATGGTGACTTCTGTCCTCTGGAGCTCCTATTAACATTGCCTCCAAGGCAGGAGAGTGGACAGGCCTGAGTGTGCTCCTGTGCACGGACCACTAGGCTCCTCCGGGACCCGGGCGCCCCTGCTCTGTTGCCCCCAGCTCTCCAGCTCTCGGCTTCCCATCCTTTCACCTTCCCACCGGGAGAGACTCCTCCGCAGTCTTAGGTCCAACGCAGCCGACCCGTCCAGCCTCACCCTCCTCTGTGTGGGGCACTAGAGGGTTTGCGAGCAGCAGTGGGAGGGCTCCCCAACCCTCCTCGGTGCCTCCAGGGTCTGGGCTTTCTGGACCCAGGGGCATTTTGCAGTCAGCAGTGAGGATGCCAACAAGGCCTATTGGGACAGGGCACCATCTCACTGGAGCTGTGCTTCCTCTCCTTCCCCTCTGTGAGGAGTTCCGTGGGCCATGGACCAGCTGCTTTCAAGGGACGTGCCCGTCAGGAGGGAGGGTGGCCAGCCCCCAGGCAGCCCTGACTGTGTGCTCCCCTCCAGGCTGAAACTGCCGCCAACCGGATCTGTAAGGTGCTGGCTGTCAACCAAGAGAACGAGCACCTGATGGAGGACTACGAGAAGCTGGCCAGCGACGTGAGTGTTCCCCCAGTGAAAGTCAGGGCCACCTCATTATCCTCAGCCAGAGGTCACTGTGACTCTTGCAGGGGGAAAGCAGGTGTGGCAGCGAGATGACCTAGAAAAGGCTGCGTGGTCACAGACCATGGCATTTAGCCAGCTGGTGTGTACACGACCTCTCCGTTTGCTTCCACAAGGCTAAGGGTCAGACCGGCAGCCACCTTGCCAGCCAGCCCCTGGGCTCCCGAGCTTGGGTTCCTACAGAGATGCTCAGGGACAGTGTTTCCTGGGCACCTCAGTGCTTTAGAATCACCTGGGGAGCTTTGTGAAAGCCCCTCTTCCCGTGCCCTGGCCCTGGAGAGAGTGATTCAGAAGGATGGAGAGGGGCCTGGGAACCAATAGGATAGCAGGCCCTGTGCAGGTGCTTAACGAGCAGCCCAGCAAGACGGGAACTCGGATTATCCTCCTTTCCAAGTGAGGAAACTGAGGCCCAGGGAGGGTCAGGCACGTGCCTGCTGTTACATGACTAGTGGGACAGAGAGCTGGGCTTCACCCAGGCAGCCCTGCTCTAGAGTCCAAACCCAATGCTTCAGTTGGAAATAAGGGTGGTTAGTACAACTCTTCTGGAGGCTCTTCATTTTTGAAATCTCCATATTTAAAAAATAAACGTAGGCTGGGCGCAGTGGCTCACACCTGTAATCGCAGCATTTTGGGAGGCCAAGGCAGGTGGATCACTTGAGGTCTGGAGTTCAAAACCAGCCTGGCCAACATGGTGAAACCTTGTCTCTACTGAAAATACAAAAATTAGCCGGGTGTTGTGGCACACACCTGTAGTCCCAGCTACTTGGGAGGCTGAGGCAGGAGGATCGCTTGAGCCTGGGAGGCAGAGGTTGCAGTGAGCCAAGATTGCGCCACTGTACTCTAGCCTAGCGACAGAGCAAGACTCCATTAAAATAAAAATAAAATAAAATAAAATTTCCCAAAGAGCAGTGGTTTGACTGCTCATCTAGAACCAGTGGTTCCCAGATTTTGCAATCTCATAGACCAGGAAAATTTGAAAAACTATTGGATGTCCAACCTAAGAGGGCCAGCTTTTTATTTTGCCAAGTTACGGATGTTTTAAAAAGAAACACTACCATCTGTTACCACCAGCACTTCTAACACCAAGATAAGGTAAAAAGGTTATTCTTAGAACCCCAGCCATTGCCAAGAAAGGGCAGCTGGCAGCACGCCTCACAATGTATCCACACAGAGGTATTTCTGTCTTTGAATTTCTCACTTTGCCAGAAGTTGGCATTTGGGAACCACTTCTCCAGCTTGTCCGTGCTGGCAGATAACTGATTTTGTACTTCTAGAATTGTTTTATTATTTTTTTGAGATGGAGTTTCACTCTTGTCACCCAGGCTGGAGTGCAATGGCACGACCTTGGCTCACTGCAACCTCTGCCTCCCAGGTTCAAGCAGTTCTCCTGCCTCAGCCTCCCAAGTAGCTGGGATTACAGGCGCGCACCACCACGCCCAGCTAATTTTTGTATTTTTTTTAGTAGAGATGGGGTTTCACCATGTTGGTCAGGCTGATCTTGAACTCCTGACCTCAGGTGATCCACTCACCTCAGCCTCCCAAAGTGCTGGGATTACAGGTGTGAACCAGCGTGCCTGGCCTAGAATTGTTTTAGAATGTCCAACTGTTTGTTACCCTTTCTCACTCCATTAAAGATCTGAGTAGTTCCTAAAAGAATATGTTTGTTTCTTTTTCAATTTTATTTTCTAATTTATGTCCCAGGCCCAGTGCACATACTGGCCTAGCCAGACTGAGCCAGGTGGGCTTGTCGGCCTTGCCCTTGAGGCACTTAGTGAGCCCAGAAGCAGTCAGGCTCTCAGCATGGAGCTCAGTGAAGACAGCGGCAGTGGGGCATGTGACAGCATGGAAAGGGACCTTTTTGGCGGGGGCATGGGAGTGGAGGTTTCCCCTCTTAGACCTGAGGGAAAAGACTAAGAGCAAAGGCATGGGCCAGGCATGGTGGCTCACCCCTGTCATCCCACCACTTTGGGAGGCTAAAGTGGGATTGCTTGAAGTTCAGGAGCTCAAGACCAGCCTGGGCAGTATACTGAGACCCCCTTCTCTATAAAAACTTAAAATAAAAATCAGCCAGGCTCGGAGGTAGGCACCTGTAGTCCCAACTACTTGGGAGACTGAGGTGGAAGGATGGCTTCAGCCCGGGAGGTTGCTATGATCATGCCACTTCACTCCAGCCTGGGTGACAAAGCGTGAACCTGTCTTTAAAAAGAAAAGCACAGGCAGGAACAGGAAGTAACAAGAGAACAGTACAGTGATGCAGGGACAGGGAGGGAGCCCACGCTCCCAGAGTTCCAGGTTGGGGGTTCTAGCAGGAATCGTGGAGAAGTTGGGCTGGGGAGCAGGGGTAACCCCCTAAGGTGGGGCCCTCAAAGATCCAGATCCCATGTGCCCATAAGCTGGGGGGCAGCCCGTCAGCACTCTGAGGGTCCCCCACAAAGGCCACGCTGGCTTCTGTGGCCCACAGCTCCTGGAGTGGATCCGGCGCACCATCCCCTGGCTGGAGGACCGTGTGCCCCAAAAGACTATCCAGGAGATGCAGCAGAAGCTGGAGGACTTCCGCGACTACCGGCGTGTGCACAAGCCGCCCAAGGTGCAGGAGAAGTGCCAGCTGGAGATCAACTTCAACACGCTGCAGACCAAGCTGCGCCTCAGCAACCGGCCCGCCTTCATGCCCTCCGAGGGCAAGATGGTCTCGGTGAGCACCAGGATTCACATGGGAGCAGCTGTGAGGGGCAGAGGCAGCCCTAGAACTGCCTGTGGGCAGTTTGGCCAGCGTAATCTTTCCTAAGTTGTTGATGTCCTGTGGGACATGGCATGGCCTTTCGGATGCAGTGGTCGGGGAGGGGTGCACTTCACTCGGCATTGTGCTCCCCTTTGGCCCTCACTCACTGTATTTTACACCCAGGGTTTTATACGCATCCCAAATCCTTGCCACGGGTTGTGTGGGTGTGGAGTGGTGTGAATTTGGAGCCGTGGTCTGCCATGATGGCATGACCGCCATGTGCTTGAGGCCCTTCATCAGCGGAGGGGCAGTGCGCCCTGGACGGTACCACCTCCCCATCTATGGTATTCATCCATTCATTCATGCACTCACCCGTTCACGCATTCATTTTGTTAATCCAGAATTGATTGTACCTGCTGAGTGCTGGGGGGCCCTGTGTAGGCATCCAGGTATAATAGCAAAGCATGACACAGACATGACCCCAGCCAAGTTCTGCCACCTTCCCATCAGCATCCCTTGGAGACATCCCCCTGGGTGCCTCCACTTCCTTGTGATAGCCCTGCCTGCTCCTGCCCTGCCCCAGGACATCAACAATGGCTGGCAGCACTTGGAGCAGGCTGAGAAGGGCTACGAGGAGTGGCTGCTGAATGAGATCCGCAGGCTGGAGCGGCTCGACCACCTGGCAGAGAAGTTCCGGCAGAAGGCCTCCATCCACGAGGCCTGGACTGACGGTACGGCCCAGCTCTGCCCCACTCTGCCCAGCCCCGCTCCCGTGCTCCCCTCCTGTCTCTCAGGCATGCATGGGTGTGCACACACAGCCCCCTGCCACGTTGGGTCTGTTTCTCAGGTGCCCTTTCTTGCTGCTTGGGAGCATGTGTGTGTGTCAGAAATGCTGCTTTAGAGCCAGGTTCAGTGGCTCACACCTGTAATCCCAGCACTTTGGCAGGCCAAGGCAGGAGGATCACTTGAGCCCAAGAGTTTGAGACCAGCCTGGGCAACATAGCGAGACCCTGCCTATACAAAAAAATTTTAGAATAATAAAATTAGCCAGGCATAGTGGTGCACACCTGTGGTCCCAGCTACTTTGGAGGCTGAGGTGGGAGGATTGATTGAGCCAGGGAGGTCAAGGCTGCAGTGAGCCGTGATTGTACCACTGCACTCCAGCCTGGGTGACAGAGCAAGACCCTGTCTCAAAAAAAAAGGAAAGAAATGCTGCTTTGGATTCCTTCAGCCCCAGAAAGCAGGGACCATTCAGGGGCCAGGTCCTCTTTGTTGCCCAGTCTGCCCTCGCCTCAGAGGTGGGACCCTGTCAGTCATCCAGGAACACAGCCAAGCCCCCTCCAGCACTTCAGGGAAGTGACCTTACACCCATCTGTTTGTCCCCTCTGCGTGTCTTCCCCATCCAGGGCGAGTGTGTGGGGCAGGCCTCTTCCATCCCCCGCACCCTGTGTTCAGAGTCGGCTTCCCTCTCCCACACCTCTGTGAGCGTGGACGGAAGGCTGGGGAGCCCATGTTCACTGGCACGTCCCTCAGGCTAGAGGAGGGCCTGCCTCCTGGGCCTGCTGCCGGACCACAGCCAGTGCTCACCCTCAGACAGTGCTCACCCACTGCCTTCGGCCCACCCTTCAGCATGGCCCACCTGTGAGCTCCTCCCACCTCCCATCCCTTCCCAGAGCCTCCTTCCCGGGCCTGGCTCCCCCTGCAGGAGCGCCACTGTGCTTTCTGTTCTCGGCAGCCCTGCAGCTGCCTGGCCGTTGGCTCCAGATGTGGGATTTCATCACGTCCCTGGCCCTCTTTTGGGTCATGCCAAGGTTGAGATTTCAGATCCCAGGGGTCTGGAAGCCTTCAGAAAGCTGCCAGTGCCTGGGAGAGCCACAAGAGCCACTCACAGGACTCCTCTCCCACTCTGGCCACCACCTTCCCAACACAGTCTCCCTGGCCCTCCGGCCGCCACTCCGCCCAGCTGAGCCCTTCCTTGCATTCCTGAGTGCATTTTCTCACCCCTCCCCACCCTGGCCCGCATGCGAGTGTGCAGCTCCACACGGCCTGCAGCCCTGGCCACGGCCCAGCTTGTGCCCTCCTCACATGAGCTCAGCTCGCCATTCCCGCGGCAGCTGCCAGCCTCAGAGCAGCCCAGCCCCTTTGCTACCAGGAAAGAGTGCGAGTGAGAGAGTGGATAGTGAGGGAGGAAGGGCCTGGCCAGGCCGGGTGCCGCACTTCCCTCTTGCCTGGCAGAAAGGCACCCATGTGAGGAGAGCGTGTTAGCACCGATGCCATCTTGTGTGGTTGGTGGCCTCCATCCATTCCCGGATTCACTCATTCGTTCAACAGACAGCTCAGGTGGCTCCAGCCGTCCTTATCCATGGAGGCCTGGGCGTCGCCCTGTGGCTGAACCTTCTGGGGGTCTTTCTGCCCACCCATCAGCTCTTCAGTCCCTCTACAGGGCTCCATGAGGCCCTGCAGATGGTTTCCTGAGGCCAAGGGGCTGGGTGTGGTGGCCCCACTGGCATTCCTCCCCTGGGAAGGGCTCTGGGGCAGCCTTCACCTGAGGTGTTTAGAAGCCAGCTCAGTCTCCGGCCAGGGCCCAGCTGGTTCAGCGGCCTCCACACGTCCCTGCCCCACCCCTACCTGACTGGGCATCCACGCGGGTCTGCCCATGGCGTCTGCCAGAGCCCCCAGGCAGGCTGGCCTACTAATTCCCAAGACTCAGAGCCTCTGTCCTCTCAAGTAGCAGTTACGTGAAACAGGACAGGCAGGCCCTCCACACCCCAGGGTCTGGTCGTAGCGGCCTCCTCCGCCCTGGGGTGGGTGGGCCACCTTCACTCCACACCCCTCACCATCCCCCACAGCCCGCAGCGGGAGGGTCGTCGTGGATGCTTCTCTGAGGGACTTGATTTCCTGGGAATACGACCAACCCCGAACGACCCCTTGTCCCCACTCCAGTTGTCCCTTGGCCTGGATCCCAGATAGCTGTGGCAATGGTCCGCTGCCCACATCCTCTCGGTGCACCCTTGCCAGGACTCTGCGGAGGCAGAGGGAGATGTCACCTGCTGTTTCTGGTTCCTGCCCCTGGGAGAAAGCAGTTGGAGAAGGGAATTGCAAGGCCGCCTTGTGGCTGAGCCTCCTGCCCCAGGGCTGCGCAGCAGGGCCGGTGGAGCCAGAGTCTCCCAGGCCTCCCACTTCTTGGCCATCAGTGCCAGAGCCGATCCTGTGGGGAGTCTGGTAGGTGCCTGACAGTTGAGACTGGGAGAGGCTGAGGTGAGGCTGGTACTGGCTCCATGCCTGCTGTGCTCGAACACCACCTCACTGAAACTTGAGAATAGTTCCATGCCACACAGGTACTGGGGCTGGCCCCATTTTACAGATGAAGGCACAGGCCCAGAGAGGCCTCGGTGGCTGCACTGGGCGGGCAGCTGTCAGGTGCTGGGACAGAGCTGAGGGGATCTCCGCTACCACTTGGGGGAAGCCCAAGGTGGTGTGCCTGAGGCAGGGCCCCTGTAGGAGCTGGGGTGCAGCCACCTTCCCAGGCTGGCATTTTCCCTGCGGTTCCCTAAAGACCTTCACTTGCTTGCAGGGCTTCCTTGAGCTTTGGTTCTGGGATGTGTAATTAGCCAGGATCAGGGACTAATAACAGCGTTCCTCCTTTCCTTTAAAGGGCCTGATGGTGGGCCCGCCCCAATGCACACAGGACACCTTAGGACAGCGTGGGGCACTTAGACGTGGAGAGGACCACCACCTGTGCGGGTGCAGGGTCAGGGTCCTAGAAGAAGCTGGCTCTGATGCTTCCCCTTCCCCAAGCCTGCTGGGACATGGGCTTTGACCCCGGGTGCTTCTCCGGATCAAAGCCCTCCAGAAACAGGTGCTACCTTTCTAAGCCGTGCTACCACGGCCCGATTTGTATGGTTTCCTACTAACAAAAGTTGCTAAGTTTAGGACACACAGGTTGAGATGGAATCTCTCTCTCAGGCTGAGCAACCCTGAAGTGTCCATCCAGGTCCATCCAGGTTACAGTTGGGCTTAGAGATCCCTGGAGGGTACGGAAGAAGATTCTGGAAGTTTCCATGCCACTGTCATTGGCATGGAAGGATGTGGGGTCCACAGTCTCTCTTTCCCTCCCTCTGCTTGGACAGCCCCTCCAGACTCCTGCCCCACAGCTGCCGTGCTGTGGTCTAAGCGTCTCTCTGCTCCTACCAGGGAAGGAAGCCATGCTGAAGCACCGGGACTACGAGACGGCCACACTATCGGACATCAAAGCCCTCATTCGCAAGCACGAGGCCTTCGAGAGCGACCTGGCTGCGCACCAGGACCGCGTGGAGCAGATCGCCGCCATTGCCCAGGAGCTCAAGTACGTGCGGGCTCAGGACACTATCATCACCTGGCTCTCACCACAGCCTGCCCAGACTGGTGGCGGCAGCACGCCGAGGCCCAGCCTGCCTCAAGGCCTGGAATAGGGTCCCCAGTGCCCCAACTGCACCTCCTTCCAGAAGCCAGGGAAGGGCCTTATGGGATGAGGCCTTTTGCCCATCCTGTCTCAGCCCCAGGTGGGACACCTGAAGGATTTGGATTCTCTAGCAGGAGGGAGGTGTCTGGCCCCTTGTCTTGATTCTTCAGGCTTTAGGGGTCCCTGGGGGTGTCACCTCTCCTGGCCACCCCAAGTAGGCCCTGGTCCCCTGATGGGATGGGCCCCAGCCTCCGTTGCTCCCAGCCATAGGTCCCTGAGGGAACCAGGCTGCACAGTGAGCCTATTGTTCTGCTCGGCCCCTTCCCTTTCTTGCTCAGAATACACTTATTGTAAGAGCTTCCAGGCAGCCGGGCTCCTTCCCCTCCCCACCCAGTCAGATAAACTTGTGTACACAATTAGTACGCTGAGGGTCGCGCTGGTGAATGGGGCCTTATTCCACCAGTGCAGCGGCCAGCAGCAGGGCGGGCCCAGGCAGCAGGAGGCCCAGGCCATTACTTCATGGAAAATCCACAGGCCCTCGAGGGGCAGCAGGGCTCCCAAAATAGCCATCTGCTCAAAAATAGGATCCTTGGCTATAACTGCTCTTTCCACCGACACCCCCACCCCACCACAGTCACCCCCAAAGGTCTGCTTATTCCTATGAGTCCAAGGCCCGTTTATTCCTGAGTCCAAGGCCCAGCCCTGATGCCCCAGTGGAGCCCCATGCTGGGCAGAGCTGGTTTCCTCCCCGACTCACTACCCACTACTGTCCGGGTGCTTTGAGGGTTCCCCATTGGCTCAGCCAGAGGCAAGAGTCCCGTGGGGCCATCACAGCATTTGGCACAGTTGGGGCACTCCAGGGGTCCTGCCACCACCACGTCCAGGCCAAGGAGAGCAAGGTCACAGATGCAGCACCCTCGGGGGTGTGGGGGTGGGACACAGGCAGCTTCCCCAGTGACGGAAGAGCCCCTGGAAGCTGGTAGGAAACAGACTTGAAATAAACCCTAGGCTTGCCCCCTTCTCAGGCCCTGGGCAAAGCTATGTGAAACCCATTACTCTGCTCAGGAACAGGCGGTCCCCGAAGCAGCTCTCTGGACGGTAGCCCTGAAGGAACGGAAGGGAGGGCTGTCCGGGTCCTGTCTTTTCTGCTGAGGGGGAATTACAGAGGCCTGTGGACCGTCCAGGATGAGCCGGATGGGCAGCCCTGCTGAGCACTGATTAATGGCGATAGCAAAAACTCACTGAGCTCTCAGGGCTTTATGTGTACCAGCTCATTTAATCCCCACAGCAACTGTGTAACTGAGGGAACCGAGGCACAGAGAGGCCAAGAGGTTTGCCCAGGGTCACACAGCAAGGGAGTGGTTGAGATGGGAATGGAGCCCAGGCCCCCAGCCCTACTGTGGAGCACAGCCTCAGCCCCTGTCCGCTGTCTGTGGCTGGCTCGCCTGCTCCCCATGTCCTGTTCCTCCCCAGAGTCGTTCCCTGCCCCCTACCCCTCCTCAGGCCCCAAGGCCTGGTTGAAGGGCCACACTCTTAGCTGATAGTGGCAGAATGAGTCAGGGATGGGTGAGCAGGAGGAAGCCGCTTCCCTTCTCACCCCTGGTTATCACCTGTTAACCAGCTCTGTTATCACCCCTTCCCTTCTACCCTGGGGGTCCCATGGGCCAGAACCAAGCTGTGATTTGATTGACCAATTAGTGATTGGTTGCTGATATCCTGGAATGTTGACTGCCCCAACACCCTGGCCTGGGAACCTTGGGGGTAGATGGGTCCAATCCATCTAGCCACTTGCCCTTGCCGAGTCTCATTGCTCTCTGCCCGGCCCGCAGCGAGCTGGATTACTACGACTCCCACAATGTCAACACCCGGTGCCAGAAGATCTGTGACCAGTGGGACGCCCTCGGCTCTCTGACACATAGTCGCAGGGAAGCCCTGGAGGTGAGGAGGGGGTGACATCACCCACGGAGCTCTGTGCCCCTGCTGCCCCGGGGCTGGTGGTGTGGATAGTGTCCAGACCTGTGAGCTCCCCCCACCTCCCACGGAGAGGATGTTCTCTGACTCCTCAGGGCCCTCTGGACCCCTCCCCACCCCTCCTGCTCACATACTGACCTGCCTTCCCTCTGTCCCTGCCCCCTTCCCTCCCACACACTAGAAAACAGAGAAGCAGCTGGAGGCCATCGACCAGCTGCACCTGGAATACGCCAAGCGCGCGGCCCCCTTCAACAACTGGATGGAGAGCGCCATGGAGGACCTCCAGGACATGTTCATCGTCCATACCATCGAGGAGATTGAGGTTCGCACCCCCCGGCCCCCCATCTTCCCAAGAGCCTCTGTGGGGCTGGGCCGCCCCCTCACTCCAGCTCCTCCCCTAGGGCCTGATCTCAGCCCATGACCAGTTCAAGTCCACCCTGCCGGACGCCGATAGGGAGCGCGAGGCCATCCTGGCCATCCACAAGGAGGCCCAGAGGATCGCTGAGAGCAACCACATCAAGCTGTCGGGCAGCAACCCCTACACCACCGTCACCCCGCAAATCATCAACTCCAAGTGGGAGAAGGTGGGCCGGGGCCATCCGTAGGGGCTGGGGCAGGACGGCGGGGCTGGGGGCCACCTCCCTGACCGCTCCCACACCGCGTCTCCTCTGCCAGGTGCAGCAGCTGGTGCCAAAACGGGACCATGCCCTCCTGGAGGAGCAGAGCAAGCAGCAGTCCAACGAGCACCTGCGCCGCCAGTTCGCCAGCCAGGCCAATGTTGTGGGGCCCTGGATCCAGACCAAGATGGAGGTGAGGCACGGCTGAGCCCCACAGAGCTGAGAAGGTTCCAAGAGAGCTCCCGTAGTGAGGGGGTCCCCGGCCAGCCCAGGGCCTGCAGACTGAGGCGCCTGGCAGAGCAGGTCCCAATTCTCACCACCCAGGGGCCGTGATCACCCTGCGGGGTTAGGAGAGTCCACAGAGCTTGCGCCTGGAATCCCGGCACCTGGGGAGGCTGAGGCGGGCGGATCGCTTGAGCCCAGGAGTTCGAGACCAGCCTGGGCAACATAGTGAGACCCCAACTCTACAAAAAATACAAAAATTAGCTGGGCATGATGGTGCGCAGCCCAAGGAGGTCGAGGCTGCCGTGAGCTACGATCATGCCACTGCACTTCAGCCTGACAGCGAGACCCTGTGGTCTCTAGTGGGCTACCTATGGGAGGTGGGTTTGATCCCTGAATGCCCTGGTCTGATGATTGTGAGACTCAGGCACTATTGAACCTCTGATCCTGTCCTCCCAGCTCTAAAATGGGGATGAAAACAGTTACCTTATTACTTCAACAAATGCTTTTTGCACCAACTAACCAGCCACATGAGTGCTGTCATTCTTACAGCAGTTCTGACCACCACTCACTGAGCACTCACTACATACCAGGCAACCAGGCTGGCAGCAGGCAACCTCGTTTAAACCCAGCAAGCCTGAGAGGGGGTCCGGGTGCCAGGCAGGTCAGCCCTGAGGTTCATGCCAGCCACGCAGCATGTGGACTTGTGGGTGCCGAGACATGGAGTGCCCGAGGTCAGGAGCTGCAGCCAGGCCAGGGTTCAGATCCCAACTCTGCCTCTAACAGCACTGAGCTGTCCTCCGTGAGCCTCGGTTTCTACCTCTGCAGTCAGGGCCTGCCACAGCCCTGGCCTCACAGAGAGGTCAAGGGTAAAATGAAGTTGGGCACAGGGAGCGCTTGGCAGAGAAAACCTCCCTGTCATTGTCATAGCTGCTTTAACATGAGAGGGCAGGACCGGAGGGGACAGTTGTGAGCAGTGGGCCTTCCCTCCCAGGGACCCATGGGCCAAGGCCCCAGGCCAAAGGGGCCCCGGGGAAGATGCAGGCCAGCAGCGCGAGTGGGCTCCTCCAGGTGGTCAGTGGGGGCAGGCCCACCAGCCTCACCCCACCGCCTGCACCCACCCCCGTAGGAGATCGGGCGCATCTCCATTGAGATGAACGGGACCCTGGAGGACCAGCTGAGCCACCTGAAGCAGTATGAACGCAGCATCGTGGACTACAAGCCCAACCTGGACCTGCTGGAGCAGCAGCACCAGCTCATCCAGGAGGCCCTCATCTTCGACAACAAGCACACCAACTATACCATGGAGGTGCGCGGCTGCCCCGCCCGCTGGCCTTTCCACCAGCATGGCCGGCTTCCTCACTGGAAATGGTTCGGGCCAGTGAGAAGATAGCTGTCTGCTGTCTGTTGTTTTTCACTCTGTTTAAAAATTATTGAAGAGACCAGCACTTTGGGAGGCCAAGTGGGAGGATGGCTTGAGCCCAGGAGTTCAAGACCAGCCTGGGCAACATAGCAAGACCCTGTCTCTACAAAAAATGAAAATATTAGCCAGGCATGGTGGTGCATGCCTATAGTCCCAGCTCCCCAGGAGGTTGAGGTGGGCAGATTGCTTGAGCCAGGGAGGCAGAGGTTGAGGTGAGCCGAGGTCATGCCACCACACTTCGGTCTGGGTGACAGAGCCAGACTCTGTCTCAAAAAAAAAAAAAAAAAAGATTGAAAAGACTAGATCAAAATGTTTAGACATTTTTAAAAATTACACTTTCCCTAGCACTGCTCTCATCACCATGACAATGCCCCTCACAGGACAAGCTGTTCTAGGGGCCCACAGAGGGCACCGTTTGCCCTGTGGCCTTAGCAGTATCAGCCTTGCTCAGGGCCAGAGCCAGCCAGCGGGTGCCGGGTCAGGGCAGCAGCTCCCACTGGCTAACACTCCGGGGACATTACAAGCTGGTCGCCGTCATATTGGTAGCTTGAGAAACCAAAAGACTGGACACTCTTGATCCAACCCATACAGGTCCACAGATGCTTCAAACCAGAGTTGGCTTTTTTGTTTTTTTCCCCTGAGAGCCAGTGGTGAGACACTGACCAGAGTTTGTCCAAACAGTCTCCACAGGGATCCCGGCACAAGATTCATGGGTCCTTGCCCTTCTGCTGCCCCTGTAGCTGGGAAACACACTTACTGTGGAGACAGACATTGGCAGAGGCAGCAGGGAGGCACCATGGCCCGTGTCCCCTGTGAGGTGTACAGGAGAGCAGGGGCTTTCCCCAGGGCGGGAGGACAGTTCACAGTCCTCCACGTGTGAACCACGGTGAGGACAGTTCACAGCACCCGGCCCACGATCACGCCCCCGTCTTTCCGCAGCACATCCGCGTGGGCTGGGAGCAGCTGCTCACCACCATTGCCCGCACCATCAACGAGGTGGAGAACCAGATCCTCACCCGCGACGCCAAGGGCATCAGCCAGGAGCAGATGCAGGAGTTCCGGGCGTCCTTCAACCACTTCGACAAGGTGAGCAGCCTGCCACCTCCTCGGCCTCTCCCCTCCCGCCGTTGCCGTACCAGCCCACACCTTCGTCTCTGCATCTGTTCGTCCATTCCCATCACAGTTGCTGAGCGTCGGCCGCCACTCCCAGGGCCAGCAGGGCCCTGCCACTGTCAGGGTGTAGGTGTGCGGCACCAAGACCCCAGCCTGGGCCACTTCACACGCACAGGCAGGGGGCCGGAGGTCCCAAGTCCTGCCTTCTGGGGTGGCATCCTCACCACCCCCAGGGCAGATGAAGTCTCAGCACACCCAGGCTTTGCGACCCGGTCTGTGAACCTGGACACAGACACCCCGCACAGTGCTTTTAGAATTCAGATTTGGTCCGGCAGCCTCATCAGAGGGGCCCTGAGCGCCAGAGTTTGCTGCCATCCCCAGCCCACCCCTGCCGGGCTGACGGACTGAGAAGTGTGCAGCCTCAGCTCTGCACCTGGCGCCCCCAGGACAGGATACAGTCCCCTCTGTCCCACTCCAAATCCCAAAGGCAAGGAGAACCCCCCCCCCGACCCTCCACCAGTCCTGGGACTTGTCCTCAGTTCTGTAGCATCCAGCTGCCACCCCTGCTGTGGGCAGAGAGGTCGGGGAGGCCTCTGCCTTCCTTTGAGCTTCCGAGGTTGGGGAAAGGATGAAAGGGGCCCGTGCCGCCCCCGACCCCACGTGTCCCTGGCCATCTCCTTGTCCATGTTGCCTCTAACTCTGTGTTTCCCTCCCCTACGTGTCCCTTCCCCCTGCCCTCTGCATGTGACCCCGATCCCTCATCCTGGTCTCCACGCCGCCCCTCCCGCACACCTGCCTTCGGATGGCCCCGGCAGGATCATGGCGGGGCGCTGGGGCCCGAGGAGTTCAAGGCCTGCCTCATCAGCCTGGGCTACGACGTGGAGAACGACCGGCAGGTACTGCACCCTGGGCCCCAGCGGACCATGGCATTAACTGCTCTCTCTCTCTCTCTCCTTCTCTCTTTCTCCCCTCGCCATCCCACCCCTGCCATCCTGTGTGCCATCTCATGGCTCTCTTGCCTCCCTGCCCACATCTCCCTGGACCCCTTCCCTTTTACCTGGTCTCTTGGGGCCGCTGTCTCCCTGCTCCCCGCCACTGTCCTGTCTGCCTGCTGTGCACATGGGGCGGCCCCTCTTGCCTACTCTGGGCCCGGCCTCCTCTGCTATGCCTGCGTCCTCGGAGCAGAAGCAGACAGGCAGCATGGACTCCGATGACTTCAGGGCTCTGCTTATCTCCACAGGATACAGCCTGGTATGCAGCTCTGTCTCCCCAGCCACCCGCTCCTCCTCCTCCTCCTCCTCCTCCTCCTCCTCCTCCTCCCCCCCACCTCTCCCCCTCACCGCCTCCAGAGCTTCCTCGTCCTCGGGGACACTCCTCCGCCCGAGCAGCGCAGCCGTGCCTGCCTCTTCCTCTGCTGCATCTGCCGGGGTGGGGTCCCTCCGATGACTTCCCGAGCCCCCCTTCTTCCCTAGAAGTCTCCAGAAAGAGGGGGCAGCTCTCCCACTCTCTCCCCTTTTTCTTTCTCTTTCTCTCTTTCTTCCCCATCCTCCAGAGCTTACTCGTGAGCCTGGGCTGAGGGCAGTAGACCCCAGTTCCCTGCTGTGGGAGACCACGAGAGGGGAGGGTGCAGAGAGGCCCTGCTTCCCGGCCTGGGGCACTGGGGGCTTGGAGGCCTGGGTCAGCTGGAGCAGTGGCAGGCTCTGCCCGGGGCCAAGGCTGCTGGAGCAGGCGGGGAACAGGGCGCACGCACACGTGGGTTGGGCCCTACTCTCTCGGCTGTTTCCCTGGAGACCCCACCAGTGTGGGCCTGGCTGCCCCTGCCCCACTAAATGTCGGGTGTCCCCCACCCCACCCTCTCCTTGCAGGGTGAGGCCGAGTTCAACCGCATCATGAGCCTGGTCGACCCCAACCATAGCGGCCTTGTGACCTTCCAAGCCTTCATCGACTTCATGTCGCGGGAGACCACCGACACGGACACGGCTGACCAGGTCATCGCTTCCTTCAAGGTCTTAGCAGGGGACAAGGTGAGCGAGACCCCTACGAGGTGCATGGGGGCTGGCGAGAGGGGTCCCTGCAGTGGGAGGGGCTGAGGGGGCCAGTGTGTGGGTGGGGATGGCTCAGAGTCCCATCCTGCCTGCCCCAGAACTTCATCACAGCTGAGGAGCTGCGGAGAGAGCTGCCCCCCGACCAGGCCGAGTACTGCATCGCCCGCATGGCGCCATACCAGGGCCCTGACGCCGTGCCCGGTGCCCTCGACTACAAGTCCTTCTCCACGGCCTTGTATGGCGAGAGCGACCTGTGAGGCCCCAGAGACCTGACCCAACACCCCCGACGGCCTCCAGGAGGGGCCTGGGCAGCCCCACAGTCCCATTCCTCCACTCTGTATCTATGCAAAGCACTCTCTGCAGTCCTCCGGGGTGGGTGGGTGGGCAGGGAGGGGCTGGGGCAGGCTCTCTCCTCTCTCTCTTTGTGGGTTGGCCAGGAGGTTCCCCCGACCAGGTTGGGGAGACTTGGGGCCAGCGCTTCTGGTCTGGTAAATATGTATGATGTGTTGTGCTTTTTTAACCAAGGAGGGGCCAGTGGATTCCCACAGCACAACCGGTCCCTTCCATGCCCTGGGATGCCTCACCACACCCAGGTCTCTTCCTTTGCTCTGAGGTCCCTTCAAGGCCTCCCCAATCCAGGCCAAAGCCCCATGTGCCTTGTCCAGGAACTGCCTGGGCCATGCGAGGGGCCAGCAGAGGGCGCCACCACCACCTGACGGCTGGGGACCCACCCAGCCCCTCTCCCCTCTCTGCTCCAGACTCACTTGCCATTGCCAGGAGATGGCCCCAACAAGCACCCCGCTTTTGCAGCAGAGGAGCTGAGTTGGCAGACCGGGCCCCCCTGAACCGCACCCCATCCCACCAGCCCCGGCCTTGCTTTGTCTGGCCTCACGTGTCTCAGATTTTCTAAGAACCAAAAAAAAAAAAGGAAAAAAAACACAAAACAACAAAAACCAAAAAAAAAAAAAATCACAAAAACAAAAAAACTATAAAAAAGAAAGAATTAAAAACTTTCAGAGAATTACTATTTACTTTATTAACTTACGGATTTATTATATAAATATATATTCACCTAGCAACATATCTCTGCCGTCTCTCCTGCTCTCATAATGAAGACATAGCCGATTCTCTGCCCGGGCCCCTTGCTGATGCTCCTCCGGGTCTGCGTCGGGCGTGGGTCTCTGGGGACCCTCCAGAGGTGGAGGTGGGCTGATGGCCTGGCTGCCTGGTGGTTGATGGTTTTGCTCCCCCTACCTTTTTTTTTTGAGTTTATTCTGATTGATTTTTTTTCTTGGTTTCTGGATAAACCACCCTCTGGGGACAGGATAATAAAACATGTAATATTTTTAAGAAGGATTCCTGCAGCATCATCTTTTTTTATTTCTCCTGTGTCTGTCCTCCACCTTCTAGGA
This sequence comes from Homo sapiens, assembly GCF_000001405.40. Taxonomy (NCBI): domain Eukaryota; kingdom Metazoa; phylum Chordata; class Mammalia; order Primates; family Hominidae; genus Homo; species Homo sapiens. The sequence goes on from NW_014040929.1 coordinate 140,224, forward strand.
GAGCCAGGGCAGAGCTAGCACTGTCTTAAGCTGTCAACGTGGACTAGCTCGTGTCATCTGCTCGAGAAGGGCTGTCGCTGTTCTTGTTTCTGAGTGAGGAGTACGCAGGCCAGAGTGGTCACCCGGCCGTGAGCAGTGAGGGCCAGAGACTAGCCCCAGACAGGTGGATGCCAGAGAGAGTGGCACCCATGCCAGGCAAGGCCTAGGGAGGTGGTCTTGCTCAGCAACCCTGCCCTGAGCAGCAGGTGCGCCCATCCGGAGATCCTAGGAGAAGGTGGCCACCTCCATCCACTAAGGAAGAGAAGGAAGACAGTGGCTTGAGGCAGGGAGCTCGCAGGACAGAGCCTGAGCCACCCTGTCCCTCCCACCTGGCTCACCTGTCTGTGGGTCAGGCAGATGACCCCCTCACCCCCATCCAGGTGCTGGCTGCAGTGGCCTGTGCAGAGAGGGGCAGGGTGAGTGCCCACCAGTCCCCGTACCCCTTCCCCCCATGCCCCACCATGCCGGGGTGGTACTCACAGAAGATGCAGGTGAGGTGGGCCACACAGGACACGAACCGCTCGAAGTCCACACGCAGACGGCTATCCCGGTAGCGGCTGGTGAGGGTCTGGGTCAGCTGGTTGTTCAGGTGGAAGCCTAGGGGGAGGCTGCTTCTGAGCCCAGTGGCCCACAGGGAACCCACCTTGGCATTGCATCCCCACCCCACCTCCTCAGGGAGGACATGAATGCCACAGGGTGTCACACCCCAACTCTGCCCCATCCCGGCAGGGTGAGTACAGGCTGATCCCTTCAATCCTCTGGGCCTGTTTCCTCATCCATCAAACGGACTAAGACAGCCCCGACCCCATAGGGTGTGTGAAGACAGAACGCTCAGGACAGCGTCTGACACGTGACTCGATGTGTGGGTACTGTTACTCCTTAAATCCTGTGGGGCTTTCTCCTTGCCAGTGGGCACTGGAGGATATTTCTGTGCAGCAAAAAATATAGTCAATCCCATATGGAGTCAGTTTCCTTACAGTCTACCTCAGAGGCGATTTCTAAAGCTGAGAAACCATGTCTGCTGTGGAGTCTCATTGGAGGCTTTTAAAAACCCAAAACAATGGGTTCTTGACCCCTTCTGAGATGCAAGGTTGTGCCTGATGACCTTTGTCTCCCACACGGCCAGACAAACCCAGTTCCAAGTACCGTTTCATGGGCTTCTGCTGCTTCCAAAGCCCATCTTCACCCCCATTCTGTGTGTTCATTCTCTTCACAAATATCTACCAAGTAAGTGCCATTTCATGCTGTGCCCAGTGCCAGGTGCTGTTTTAACAGGAGGGCAGGTGGCCTGCAGCCTCTTCCTGCCCGTGTGACCTGCCCCAGGTCACTCCCTCTGGCATTCATCTGCCCTCGGGCATAGGGGTGGAGGCTGCCATGCCCAGGGCTATGGGGAAACCCAGCCAGATGGGGTGGAAGGACCCGAGAAGGCGCTGGAGCCCCTCAGCTGCCACTGCAGGAGTTCCCGTTTGAGAAATTCTCAAGGGCACTTTATCAGTTTCCTTCTTCCTGGAATAACTCCTGGCATGTAACAGGCACTCACTGGTGCCAGATGCGTGAACACAAGCCTGCCACCTGCCACCTGCTGTGAGTCCTTGCTCCCTCACCTCCACTCCTGTCTATCTCCGGCCCAGCCTCTCCCTCTCTGCCCCACGTCTCCCAATCCTTGGCTGTCTCTGACCCCATTTCTCCCCCTTTGACTTGGGCTTTTTCTTTTTTCTTTTTTGAGACGGAGTCTCGCTCTGTTGCCCAGGCTGGAGTACAATGGCATGATCTTGGCTCACTGCAACCTCCACCTCCCGGGTTCAAGAGATTCTCCTGTCTCAGCCTCCCAAGTAGCTGGGATTACAGGCACGCACCACCACGCCTGGCTAATTTTTGTAGTTTTAGTAGAGACGGGGGTTCCGCCATGTTGCCCAGGCTGGTCTTGAACTCCTAGGCTCAAGCAATCTGGCAATCTGCCTGCCTTAGCCTCCCAAAGTGCTGGCATTACAGGCGTGAGCCACCACGCCCGGCTGGCTCTTTTGGACACTTGACCACCTTCTCTGGGTCTCACACTCACAGCCACACCCAAACCCTCTCCCTCTGGCTCTCCGACTCCATCACAGTCACCCCAGCCCCCATCTCCCTGTGGCTCCATCTGCTGTGTGGTGGCAGACAGGCCCCAGAGTGGGGTTGGGGATCTGGGAACTCCAAGTTCTGACCCCAGCCCACTCTCCAAATCCCCTCCACATGAGGGTCACAGTGCTGTACTGTCTCATCTGCCTTGGAGCCCATGGAAAGCCTTTCTCTCTGGCTCTCTTTCTTGGTTAGGATGTTGTGCTGGGCTTGTTCCAGCTCATCAGGAGGAACTCAGCCTAGTAGCAGAGGCCATTGGCCGGCTCTCTTTGGGGCTTTTGGTAATGAAAGCTGCATTCTCCAATCACTAAGTGCTATGCCCTGCAGTGCATGGACGACTCCTCACCACCCTGTGTACTAGCTTTTTTTTTTTTTTTTTGAGAGGCAGGCTCTTGCTCTGTCACCCAGGCACAATCACGGCTCACTGCAGCCTCAGCCTCCCGGGCTCAAGCCATCCTCAAGCCTCAGCCTCCTGAGTAGCTGGGACCATAGGTGTGAGCCACCACACCAGGCCCTGGCCATTTTAGAGAGGAAAATGGAGGCTCAAAGAGATGAAGTCAAGTGCCCAGGGCCCCTCCTGGAGTCAGTAGAGTGAGGATTCCAACCCCGGTGCACCAGAATCCAGAACATTCTACCATGCTGCCCTGGGGGCCAGACCCTCTCAGATACCAGCTCCTAATCTTCCCCTTCCTGGAGGGGCCTCTCCCTGCCCCAGAACCCCTACCAGGCACATCCCCCTTTCATGTCCTCCCCACCCCACACACGCCCCTTGCCCTTCTCCTTCCTTATTTGGCCTCTTTCAGGGTCACCCAACCCCTGCCAGGGACTGGCAACAAGCTAAGGTGTGGGCCTGTGGATGGCCACAGTGCAGACGGCCACAGCTGAGCAGGGGGACTTGGAGACAATGGGATGGGAGAGAACAGGTCCTGTCCCCACGACCACCCCAGGACCCTGTCCACACCTGCTGCATTCAGTGCCAGCCTCAGCTCGTAGGAGTTCATGGTTCCAGAGGTGTCCTCATCGAACTTGTTAAATATGGCCTGGGCAGGAAGGATGAGTCAGGGCTGCCCTCCATGCCCTGAAGAGGGCTGCCAATGGGGCCTCCCAGGCAAGACAGCCTGGTGCCCATCCCAACTCCCTTTCTTCTGGTGTGGACCCCCAGCAAGCAGCCTAGCCACTTGGGACTTCTGTTTCCCAATCTGTAAAATGGGAATAAGAGCAATGACCCAGAGGACAAGCTGAGGCTGGGTGGGGGCAGGGATATCCCAGCCAGATCTCTCCAAGTCAGCCTAGTCCAGTACCCCCTCGTTCCCTGGGGACCTGATAGCCCACAGGGTGCCTATGTCTCTGTTAGTAAAGGTTTCTCTCTTTCTGGGAAGAGGCCCAGTCTCCCACCTCACCTGCCACTCCAGGAGGTAGCCCCAGAGCTGCTGGAAGTGGTGTAAGGCCAGGCTTTGCCCATGCTGTGTTGGGGGTCGGGGGCATCTGGTTAAGGTCAATCTCTCCAGAAGGGGAGGAGAGACCCCAACGTCCCCTTCCCCACTCCCTCCCTCACCCAGGCACTGCCCCCCATGTACCCCGAAACACTGCAGCAGCTGCTCACAGGTCCTGAGCCCGATCTCTCTGGGGGTGGAGGTATGGGCCCTGGCTACAGGAAAAACAAAGTCAAACCACAGCACTTCCTGCATTCTGGCCACCACTTTAAGGGCTGGGTGGATGTGACTCCCTTAAGCAGGTGATGTTGTCAGTCCCATATTATAGAAGCCGAGGCACAGGGAGCCAGTGACTGCTGCGCCTAGCAGAGCTGGGATTCAAATCCAGGCAGGGGGTGCCCAGTCTGTGCTCAAGGCAGCCTTGCCTTTCAGCGGAAGGGGAGCTTGCGAGCAGCCGTGGCCCAGGTCACGGGGCCCACACAAGATCCCCTGCAGGGAGATGCTGCCAGGCTGAGCCCTGGCTTCCTGAGCCCAACTCCCAGCAGCGCGGTGGGTTCATAGACATAGGGTGGCACCGGCTCTGGTTGCAGGACCCCTGGCTAAGACCCCTCCTCCTGCCCCTATCCCAGCCAACTCACCAGGCTCCAGGGCAATGCTTAGTAAGGCCTGGAGCTGAGAGGCATTGAGTTCTTCCTCCTAGTCCAGGAAAGAGGGCTTGTGAGGCCATTTACTCATCCAGCTGCTCTGGGCCAAGCCCTGTGCTAGGGACACGGCAGGGGCTGACAGAGCCTCAGAGCCCTAGCTCCAGGAGTGGGGGAGACAGACCTGTCCCCACAGGGCCAGGGCTGTGACGGGGGAAGCACTGGGCTGTGGTTGCTGGTGGGGGGCCAGCAGACCGGCCTGGGGCAGGGGGGTGGTCAGGGAGAGCTTCCAGGGCTGGGCACCTTAGATGAGACCTGAGCCTGGCTGGAGGTGTCAGGAGGGAGAGGGTGGTCCTGGGAGAGGGTATGGACTGAGCCCAAGGCCCTGAGGCAGGGAGGAGCTGTGAGCATTTCAAGAAAAGGTCAGGAGATTTAAGCCCGGAGGGAGGAAAAAGCAAGCAAAATGAGACACCTGAGATGCTGGGGTGGGGGAAGGGGGGTCCCCAAGGGGAGGCCGCAGCGGGATACCCCCTCAGTCCAATCCCCCTCCTCACCTCTCCAGCCAGCTCCTGAAACAGCTGCTCCAACCCCAGCTCCAGGGGCAGGTAGGGGCCCTGCCGCATGGCGGAAGTTTAGCGCTGGCCAAGATCCCCGCCCCATGCCGCCCCTCCAGGAACAGTCCCCACCTGGAGAGACTGCAGGTCTGCGCTGATCACGTCGTCGATCTCCCTGCAAATTACAGATGGGAAGTGGGGAGGGGGCTGTTTGCCCCAGCTGGGGCTGTGTGGGACGGGGTCTCAGGTGAGGAATCGCGTGGGGTCTAGGTAGGGACCGTGGAGCCCTGGGCTCATCCTCGCGGGGCGGGGGTTCTGGGGGCGGGGCGGGGGTTCTGGGGGCGGGGCGGGGGTTCTGGGGGCGGGGCGGGGCGGGGGTTCTGGGGGCGGGGCGGGGCGGGGGTTCTGGGGGCGGGGCGGGGCGGGGGTTCTGGGGGCGGGGCGGGGGTTCTGGGGGCGGGGCGGGGCGGGGCGGTGGTTCTGCGGGCGGGGCGGGGCGGGGCGGGGCGGGGCGGGGGTTCTGGGGGCGGGGCGGGGCGGGGCGGGGGTTCTGGGGGCGGGGCGGGGCGGGGGTTCTGGGGGCGGGGCGGGGCGGGGCAGGGGTTCTGGGGGCGGGGCAGGTCAGGTCTCGGGGGTCTCGGGGGTCTCGGGGGTCTCGGGGCCTGTCTAGGCAGGGATGGGGTCGGATTTGGGTGCCCGGGGCTCACACGGCCGTGTGGCGGCGCTCGGAGAAGACACGCAGAGTGAAGTCAGCCTCGTCGCCGGCGTGGGCGGTGCTCGGCACCACCAGGTAGTGGCCTGGACGCAGGCAGCAGCGGCGGGTCACGTCGCGGCGGGCGCTGAGGGGCGAGCGGTCGGCGCGCAGCAGCCGGGGCAGGAGCGCATGGCTGCGCGGGGAATCCCAGAGGCCCAGCAGCTGGGGACGGGGCGGCATGACCACGGACCAGGCTCACCCCCGGCCCTTCATCCCCGCACCCTCCAGCGCGCCCCGTCCACCCTGCCTAACCCCTGTCCACGCCTCCCCTGCCCCCGGACCCGGCTCTGCCCCCCCACCCCCAGGGCAGTTTGACCAAGCCCCAGGGCAGGTTGACCAAGCCCCAGGGCAGGTTGACCAAGCCCCAGGGCCGGTTGACCCCATCCCAGACTCACCTCCTCTGGAATCTGAAAGAAGCAAGAGCAAGGGGCGTCGGGGCAGGGGAGAGGTGGCCGCCGCTCAGGGTCTCCTCCCTGCCCCTTCTCACCTCTGTGCTCTCTCCCTCCTTCTTCGTCCTATTAGACCCTTATTGAACCTTTGCCCCGCAGTCCCCGACCCAGGCCCTCGCCGACCCCTCCCCAACTCTTCCTTCCCCATCTGCGCTCCCAGCGCCTTCTCTGTATCCTTGGTCCCCTCTGGCCCTTCTAACCCCCAGCCTCTCTCTGTCCCTAACCTCGTCCCTCTGTCTGTCCCTGAGCCCCTCCCTCTCATTCCCTTAGCTCCCTCTCCCCTCTGAGACCTGGCCCCCCAGCCCTACTAGCCCCCTACTCCCCTCCCAGCGCCGCCCCCTCTTGGCCCTGCTCCTCCACTCCTCCCCTCCTCCCCGATCCTCTTCAGTCCCACCCCTCCACCACTCCCCCTCTTCCCCCTTGGCCCCGCCCTCCACACCTCCCCTCTTCCCACTGGCCCCGCCCCTCCATGCCTCCCCCGCTCCTTGGCCCGGCCCCGCCCCTCCACCCTCCGGGTTCCCTCCAGCCTCAGCTTTGCCCAGGACCTCACCTGGAACACGTGGAAGCCAACGGTGAGGTAAGTGAGGCCCTTGGCTCTCAGGCGCCGCCGGTTGCGCTGGATGAGGGACAGAAGGACCGTGCACTTGGGCGTGCGGCCCCCCCGCGCTGGGCCCCGTGCCCCTGCAGCCCCCCAGCCCCCCCAGGGCCCTTCCTCATCCTCGTCATCCTCCTCATCAGGCTCCAGCAGCGTTAAACGGAACTGAGGATTGGTCCAGAAGGTTTCTAAGGGAGGAGGAAAAAAGGGGGTTTCCTAGCCGGCCACAGCGCCCCCCACCCCAGGAAGCCTCTCAGGGCCCCTCAGGCCTCACCAGCATTAGGCTGGCTCCCGCCGGAGTTGAAGCCACGCACCCAGCGGCCTTGGAAGGTGTGGACGTGCCAGCCGCCCCCCTCCGGGCTGGGGCCCAGCACCTCCGGGCTCAGCGAGCAGATCTGCACGGTGTCGAAATGGAGGAGGAAGTCCCGCAGCTCCATCCTGCACGGTGGCCCAGTCAGACCCTGCCCGGCCCCACCTCGAGGGGGTCCCAAGATCCCGGAAATGACTCCCAGATCCCAAAGCCCCTCACATTTCTTAAATATTGTCAAATACCCTTCAGGCTCCAGAAATGAACCCCAAATGCCTGGGCCTCTAGCTCTGCCAAATTCCTCCAAGTCCTCAGACATGCCCCACAAATCGCCAAGATTCACAAGCTGCCCCCAAATATCGTTAAATTGCCACCAACCCCCAAATAGCAAGACCCTCAGACTCTAAATTACCAACAAGTACCCTTCAGCCCCTCAACATTGCCAAATCTCAAGAAATGCCCCAAATATCACCAAGCCTTCCTCCATTGCCCTAAATACTGCCCATCCCTTTCAATCCTCCACAGATAACTAGGCCTTCAAATTCCCCTCATATTACTACTTTTTTAAACCCACTCCAATCAGAGGTTCTCTAATATTACTACCAATTCTTCCTTGATTTCCCAAAATAGAACCTGGCCCCAAAATTACCACCGATGTACACAGTTTCTCCCTATTAGGACCCATCCTTCAACTGGGGCTCGCCCTCCCTGAACCCCTTGGCAGAGACCCTCCCAGAGGCAGAGCTGGGACCCTGACGAACTGACCAGAACTCGCCATCCTCCTTTTTCACCAGCAGGGCATCGCGGCACTCGGTGGGGAGTGTGTCCCAGCGTGGGCAGCTGGAGAGACTGTGGTGTGAGGGGCGGGCAGGTGGGGTCCAGCCCCACACCCACCCCAGACCCATCCCACCTGTCGCTCCAGGCCCCCGTCCACTCCACGCAGCCCCATGGGTTCCGCAGCCGCAGCAGCCGCACCTTGGTGAAGCCCAGGAACACCTGGGGCAGCATCGTCAGTGGGGGTGATGCCTGGACATGGCCTGCCACCCCACCCATGGGGGACACTTACCTTGTGTGTGCCCGTGATGGAATACGCGTGTCCCTTTACCAGGCCCTCTTCTGTGCGGTACTCACCCCGATCACTCTGGGCAGGGGATGGGATGGTGAGGCCAAGGTAGGGGACAGGAGGGCAGCTGCTCCTCCCTGCCCCCAACCTCCTGCCACCAAGGCAGGAGCCAACCAGAGCACTGAACTGAATGGCACGCAGCTCAGAGACCATGTCAGGGTTAGTGACTGAAGGCGAAAGAGAAAAGGAGAGGAAGGGAGATGGAAACGAGACAAAAGGAGATGGAGGTACGGGCTCACGCCTGTAATCCCAGCACTTAGGGAGGTCGAGGTGGAAGGACTACTTGAGGCCAGGAGTCCAAGACCAGCCTGGGCAACATAGCAAGACCCCAAGTCTACAAAAATTTTAAAAATTCAACAGGCGTGGTGGTGCACACCAGTGGTCCCAGCTACTCTGGAGGCTGAGGCAGGAGGATCCCTTGAGCCCAGAGGTCAAGGCTATAGTGAGCTATGATGACACTACTGCACTCTGGCCTGGGTGACAGAGTGAGATGAGACCCTGCCTCCAAAAACAAAAACAAACAAAATAGATGGAAAGAGGCCTGTTGTGGTGGCTCACACCTGTAATCCCAGCACTTTGGGAGGCCGAGGCGGGCAGATCACAAGGTCAGGAGATTGAGACCATCCTGGCTAACACAGTGAAACCCCATCTCTACTAAAAATACAAAAAACTAGCTGGGCATGGTGGCGGGCGCCTGTAGTCCCAGCTACTCGGGAGGCAAAGCAGGAGAATTGCTTGAACTTGGGTGACAGAGGTTACAGTGAGCCAAGGTCGTGCCACTGCACTCCAGCCTGGGTGACAGAGCAAGATTCCGTCTCAAAAAAAAAAAAAAAAAAAAAAAAGATGGAAAGAGTAGAGAGACAGAGACAGAGACAAAGAAAGATACAGAAGAGAGAAACAGACACAAAAGAAAAAGAGAAGCAGTAACTCAGAGGATTTAAGTAAATGAATGAGTGAAGGAGTTAGACCAACTCAGTGAATGAATGAGTGTGTCATGGGGTCACAGATGAACACATGACCCAAGCTAAGCCCACGAGAATCAATCCTGGGACTTTTACTGAAATTCTCAGAAAGAGGCACTTTTTTTTTTTTTTTTTAAATAAACCCTAGGGTGGTAGGAGATACCTGCAGCTATGGGGGATCCTTTTATGCCCATGAGGGGAGAGCCTGGCTGAGAGTGACACTAACACAGAATGAGAAATAAACATAGTTGCAACACCCTCAGCATCTGGATCCAGCTGTGCCTGAAGCCCCTGATTCATGAGAGCAAATGAATTTATTTTTGACTAGTTAGATTTATGAGCGAGCCTAAGCCAGTAACGGAAGCAGAGAACAGAGGAAGCACTCCGCCCACCCCACCACACCCCTGACTGTGCTCTGGTCCTGGTGGGGGTTCCGCATGCGAGTCCAGGTCTCTTACCAGGGCAGTGGCGCCCACGAGGGACTCCTTGGCCAGGGCATGGCGCAGGGCAGAGAACAGCCCCATGCTGTTTTGTCTCAGATAGAGCACCTCGCCCACGCCGCCTGTGAAATCCACAAAAGCCTCATTCATGTGGCCGCCCCGCATCACCTCATAGGAGCCGTGGAGCCTGTGGGGGCAGATCTGGGGTGAGGGTTGAGGCAAGTACAAGCGTCTCAGGCACCCCTGCCCTGGGATCTGCAGGGGCCTGTGTCTCAGGGTGTGGAATCCCCAGGGGAAATTCCTGAAGTTTTGAGACTTTTTCCAGGGTCACCCTGTGGCCCAGGCCGGAGTGCAGTGGCGTGATCTCATCTCACTGTAGCCTCAAACTCCCGGGTTCAAGCGATCCTCCTCCCACCTCAGCCTCCCGAGGAGCTGGGCCCACAGGTGCACACCACCACACCCAGCTAAAACAATTTCAGACTCTTGGCCAGGCATGGTGGCTCACGCCTGTAATCCCAGCGCTTTGGGAAGCCGAGGCAAGTGGATCACCTGAGGTCAGGAGTTTGAGACCAGCCTGGCCAATACGGTGAAACCCCGTCTCTACTAAAAATACAAAAATTAGCTGGGCGTGGTGGCACATGCCTGTAATCCCAGCTACTCGGGAGGCTGAGGCAGGAGAATCGCTTGAACTCGGGAGGCGAAGGTTGCAGTGAGCCAAGATCACGCCATTGCACTGTAGCCTGGGCAACAAGAGTGAAACTCCATCTCAAAAAAAAAAAAAAAATTCAGACTCTTGACGGGGGGAACTGTGGCACATACAGAAGCCCTTGGAGATTGGGCCTGTGGTCCTTGGGGTGACCAGGACTTCGGTTTGGTGGGGGGCATGGGAGAGCTGTGTTAGAATTCTGAGAGTCCTGGTGCTGTCTGAAACCTTGAACCTCTGGTAGATGTCCGCTTTGGGGGATCATCCCTATGGGGGCTTGTCAGGAATTTCAGAGCCTCAGAATGGGGAAAAGGCAAAGATTTGAGGGTCCCAGGGTGACCCCCAATATTTTGGGGGTGCTTTAGATTTCTCAATGGACCAGGAGAGACAATCTAAGATATACAGCTCACCCGAGGGGATAAATCCCAGATTTGGTGAATCCAGGGCCTGATATATGAGATTTCAGGATCCTTAAGAATTATGAGTGACTGGGGGTCTCCAGGAATGTTTTGTGTGAAATATTGATGGAGAGAGGGGTTTAAGATTTGAAGGTACAGCTGAGCACAGTGGCTCACACCTGTAATCCCAGTACTTTGGGAGGCCAAGGAAGGTGGATCACCTGAGATCAGGAGTTGGAGACCAGCCTGACCAACATGGTGAAACCCCATCTCTACTAAAAATATAAAAATTAGCCAGGCATGGTGGTGCGCTCCTGTAATCCCAGCTAGTCGGGAGGCTGAGACAGGAGAATCGCTGGAACCTGGGAGGCAGAGGTTGCAGTGAGCCAAGATCGCGCTACTGCACTCCAGCCTGGGCGACAGAGTGAGTGAGACTCCGTCTCAAAAAAAAAGAAAAAAAAAAAAAACATGAAGTTGCTCAGGTGATGTTGTGATATGAGGGTTCTGGCGGTTGTCACTTGGTTTGGGATTCTTGGTGGGGTGTTTGGAGGATTGCAGAGCTTGGGGGACTCTGGGTCCCCCTGTGGCTTGATGCCTGCTGTGGGGACTTAGGGCTGCAGCTGGTTGGAACTGGGGTCCTCACTTGGCGTAGGCCTTCTCCAGGAGTGGGGCCCAGAACTCATTCCGCTGTTCCGAGCGCACGAACATCAGCTTCCCCTCACGCACGGGCAGCCTGTCATCCACCACGACGTCCATCCAGCGGCCAAACTGCCAGAGCTGGTGGGAGAAGATGCAGGGCCGGACTCGGCTTCCAACCTCCAACCCTGCCTGGGCCCTGCCTCTGCTGTGCCAGTCCCAGAGTCAGGAATTACAGCCCCAAGTCAACGTTAACTATGAAATCCATATGGCTGGCCGGGTGCGGTGGCTCACATCTGTAATCCCAGCACTTTGGGAGGCCGAGGCGGATGGATCACGAGGTCAGGAATTCGAGACCAGCCTGGCTAAGATGGTGAAATACCATCTCTACTAAAAATAAGAAAAAATTAGCTGGGCATGATGGCGGGTGCCTGTAATCCCAGCTACTCAGGAGGCTGAGGCAGAGAATTGCTTGAACCTGGGGGCGGGGCGAAGGTTGCAGTGAGCCGAGATTGTGCCACTGCACTCCAGCCTGGATGACAGAGTGAGATTCCATCTCAAAAAAAAAAAAAAAGAAAAATCCATATCACCAAGTCACCATGGGGGAAACGGAGGCATGGGCAGAGGAACTGAGCTGTACCTGGAAGTGGAAGACGCCTGCGTAGCCATGCTGGAAATCCTGTCCAGGAGGGACCACCCGGCGCAGGAGCCGGGGATACAGAGTAAGGGAGGCGGCAGCTGCAAGGAACCAGCAGTTACCTGGGAGGAGAGGCCAGGATTAGGTGAGGATGGAAGGAGGGAGGCCTGGTGCGGTGGCTCATGCCTCTAATCCCAGCACTTTGGGAGGCCAAGGCAGAAAGATCACGTGAGCCTAGGAGTTCAAGACCAGCCTGGCCAACATGGCAAGACTCCACTACAAGAAAATTTAAAAATTAGCTGGGCATGGTGGCATGCACCTGTAGTCCCAGCTACTTGGGAGGCTGAGGCAGGAAGATTGCTTGAGTCCAGGAGGTTAAGGCTGCAGTGAGCTATGATGGTGCCACTGTATTCCAGAATGGGTGACAGAGTGAGACCCCATCTCAAAAAAAAAAAAAAAAAAAAAAAGGAAGGAAGGAAGGAGGGAGGAGGGAGAGAGAGGCCTAGGGAGAGAAGAGACTGAGGAGGGATCCAGGGGCCGGGAGTGGGTGGACAAAGGGATGGAGCTGTCAGGATCTCAGCTGAAACTAGCTGGATCTGAGGACTCCAGGTGGGTTCAGGGTCTCACCCAGGCTCCCCTGACACACGTCTGTGCGGCTCATGTCTTCACAGATGAACTTCGGCTCAGCACAGAACTCCTGTGGGTGGTGGGGGATTCCAGGCCTCAGCCTGAGAAAGCGAGGAAAGGTCTCATCCAGAGGAGTGAGGGCCTCCAAGCCCATGAAAGGCCTGGAAGCCTGTGGGCAGGAGCATGGCTTCCCTGGGTCTCCAGAAGTTGTGCTGAGCCAGTCCCATGGTAGCCCCCTCCTCCCTCAGACCCGGGAGTCCAGGCCCAGCCCCTCCTCCCTCAGACCCAGGAGTCCATGTCCCGAGCCCCTCCTCCCTCAGACCCAGGAGTCCAGGCCCAGCCCCTCCTCCCTCAGACCCAGGAGTCCAGGTCCCGAGCCCCTCCTCCCTCAGACCCAGGAGTCCAGGCCCAGCCCCTCCTCCCTCAGACCCAGGAGTCCAGGTCCCGAGCCCCTCCTCCCTCAGACCCAAGAATCCAGGTCCCCAGCCCCTCCTCCCTCAGACCCAGGAGTCCAGGTCCAGCCCCTCCTCCCTCAGACCCCGGAGTCCAGGTCCCCAGCCCCCTCTTCCCTCAGACCCAGGTGTCCAGGCCTTGGCCTCTCCTCCCTCAGATCCAGAAGTCCAGGTCCAAGCCCCCTCCTCCCTCAGACCCAGGAGTCCAGGTCCCCAGCCCCTCCTCCCTCAGACCCAAGAGTCCAGGCCCAGCCCTTCCTCCCTCAGACCCAGGAGTCCAGGCCCAGCCCCTCCTCCCTCAGACCTAAGAGTCCAGGTCTCGAGCCCCTCCTCCCTCAGACCAGGGAGTCCAGGCCCCCAGCCTTCCTTCCTCAGACCCAGGAGTCCATGCCTCCAGCCCCTCCTCCCTCAGACCCCAGAGCCCAGACCCCAGCCACACTTTACATGGGGCCTCATCCATTTCACGCCTTTGGCCTTCTCCGAGTCCGGCCCCAGCTGGTCATAGCCAAGGGCATCAGGGCCAGCAGGGAAGTAAGGGTCGCGGAACAGGATCCCCGAATCCAGGCAGGCTGCCCGAATTGCCTCATAGCTCTGGCCCCGAAAAAGCTGCAGGCGCCCGGCTCCGACCCCAGCCTCCTCATCCACGAGCTGGATGGTGACCCTCCCACTGCTGGATGCCATCTGGACACTGGCCTCACAAGCCGGCACCAGGCCCTTTAACCTCCTGAGTCACGGGGGCGGGGCCTCTCTTCCATTGGAGCCCCAGTGGGGTCTTTAGGCAATGAGGAGCCTTCCCTCGTTAATATTAATTGATGGTTTGGGGTGCTGGGGAGCAGGGACGCCTCTTCAGTAGCTTTCTTCCCAGGGCGTGGGGCCTTCAGTTGTGGCCAAGGTAGCAGCTTAATGGGCTTGGCCAGCAGCAGGAGAGAAGGCGGGCAGAGCTGAGGGAGGACCGGCTGCCGCTGTCAGAGCACCAAGAAGGAGGTCAGTGTGGGGGTGAGCTTCTGCCTACTTATGCCTGTGGGGCTGGGGAAGGAGGCGGGTTTACCTCGGTGTCTCTATCTCTCAGACTGCCTCTCTCCCCCTCCCTCTGACAGTTTCTCTCTCCCCGCCTTCATGTTTCTTCTCCATCAGTTTCTGGAGTGCAGTGGCACGATCTCAGCTCACTGCAACCTCCGCCTTCTAGGTTCAAGTGATTCTCCTGCCTCAGCCTCCCAAGTAGCTGGGATTACAGGCTCGTGTCACCATGCCCAGCTAATTTTTGTATTTTTTGTTAGAGAAGGGATTTTACCATGTTGACCAGGCTGGTCTTGAACTCCTGGCCTCAAGCAATCCGCCCACCTTGGCCTCCCAAAGTGCTGGGATTACAGACGTGAGCCACTGTGCCTGGTCAGGTTTTGTTAATTAAAAAAAATTTTTTTTAAAGTAGAGACAGAGGGGTGGCGGGGGGCGGTCCCATATGTTCCCCAGGCTGGTCTTGAACTGCTGGCCTCAAGTGATCCTCCTGCTTCAGCAGCCTCCCAGAGAGCTGGGATTACAGATGTGAGCTACTGTGCCTGGCCCTTTCTTGTTTTTTGTTTCTGGCAATATTTGTGTCTCTGTATTTCCCCAACTCCACCCCTCTCCCCACCCCACCCTCTTTTTTTTTTTTTTTTTTTTTTTGTAGAGATGGGGCGGGGATCTCACTTTGTTGCCCAGACTGGTCTCGAACTCCTGGGCTCAAGTGATCCTCCCCGCTTGGCCTCCCAAAGTGTTGGGATTACAGGCGTGAATCACTATGCCTGTCCCCTCTCTCTTTGTGTCTCTTTCAGCGTGTGTCTGTTCCTCTCTGTACCTGTCAGACCCAGGAGTCCAGGCCCCCAGCCCCTCCTCCTTCAGACCCTGTCAGTGTACCTTGTGTCTGCCTCCCTGTCTCTTCCTCTCCATCTTTCTGTCTGTCCCTGTAACCCATATGTGGCTCCTCCATCATCCACCGAGGGACCCTGAGCTCCCCTCCGCTCACGCCCCCTAAGCCCTCAGGATGCGCCTCCTCCCCTCCCGGACAAGGTAGACTCAGCCTGCTTGCCCAGGGAGGCTGACCCTGGAGGGATGGCTCTGTACCTCTCCTGTGCTGGGAGCCATCTGGTGACCATGATGCCCTGCCCTGGCCCACGCCACTCAGAGTCTGGATGGAGCAGTATTTCCCCCAAAGGACTCTGGAGCCATTGGAGGAAATGGGAGAAACAGGTACGGAGATGCCAGAGCCTCAGCAGTGCTGGTCCCAGCAGACCTTCCACCCTCGTTGAGGGTGTCTGCTGCCCTCCCAGAGCCTTGTCACCTCCACGCCACTCAGATGTCCCTCAAGCCTTTTGGCCTTCTTCCCTCCAAGTGGACCCACAAATATTGTCCAAGCCACCCACGTACACGGCTACCAAAAGTGGGTTACAAAACAGGCTTTCTGGCTGGGCGTGGTGGCTCATGCCTGTAATCCCAGCACTTTGGGAGGCCGAGGCAGGCAGATCACCTGAGGTCAGGAGTTCGAGACCAGCCAGGCCAATGTAGTGAAACTCCGTCTCTACTAAAATACAAAAATTAGCCGGACATAGTTGCGGGCACCTGTAATCCCAGCTACTCAGAAGGCTGAGGCAGGAGAACCGCTTGAATCTGGGAGGCGGAGGTTGCAGTGAGCCGAGATTGTGCCACTGCACTCCAGCCTGGGCAACAGGGCAAGACTGCATCTCAAAAAACCCCCCAAAACAGGGCCGGGCATGGTGGCTCATGCCCGTAATCCCAGCACTTTGGGAGGCTGAGGTGGGCAGAACACTTGAGGCCAGGAGTTCAAGACCAGCCTGGCCAACATGGTGAAACACCATCTCTATTAAAAATACAAAAATTAGGCTGGACGCGGTAGTTTACTACGCCTGTAATCCCAGCACTTTGGGAGGCCGAGACGGGCGGGTCAGGAGTTCCAGACCAGCCTGGCCAACATGGTGAAACCCCATCTCTACTAAAAAATACAAAAAAATTAGCTGGGTGTGGTGGCACGCACCTGTAATCCCAGCTACTCAGGAGGCTGAGGTAGGAGAATCGCTTGAACCCGAGAGGTGGAGGTTTCAGTGAGCCAAGACTGCACCACTGCACTCCAGCCTCGGCAAGAGAGCAAAACTCCATCTCAAAAAAAAAAAAAAAAAGGCCGGGCACGGTGGCTCAAGCCTGTAATCCCAGCAGCACTTTGGGAGGCCAAAGCAGGCAGATCACGAGGTCAGGAGATCAAGACCATCCTGGCTAACACGGTGAAACCCCATCTCTACTACAAAAAATACAAAAAATTAGCCAGGCATGGTGGCGGCCACCTGTAGTCCCAGCTACTCGGGAGGCTGAGGCAGGAGAATGACGTGGACCCAGGAGGCGAAGCTTGCAGTGAGCCGCCACTGCACTCCAGCCTGGTTGACAGAGCAAGACTCTGTCTCAAAAAAAAAAAAAAAAAAAAAAATTAGCTGGGCATGGTGGTACACACCTGTAATCCCAGCTACTCAGGAGGGTGAGGCAGGAGAATCGCTTGAACCTGGGAGGCGGAGGTTGCAGTGAGCCAAGATCACGCCACTGCACTCCAGCCTGGGTGAGAGAGTGAGACTCCATCTCAAAAAAAAAAAAAAAAAAGTTTTCTTCGTGTAGGATTGCCAAGCCCACCCCAGCCCCACGGGAGTCATATGGGAGTGCTTCCAGCCTGCCGGGATTAGGAGCCACAGCACCTGGGGTCCAATCCCAGCTCTGCCACCTACACCTGTGTGTCTTTGGGCACATCACTTAACTTCTCTGTGCTTCAGTTTCCTCATCTCTGCAATGCGGATGATGATAGGGCGTACCTCGGAGGGTTGCTGTGGGAAGCGAATGAGTTCGTACGTGGGATGAGTTCAGAGAAGTGCCTGACACAGAGTCGCTGCTCACTGCACGAGGCATTGACCATGCCTTGGCGTTCAAGAGTGTCTGCTGCCCTCCCAGAGCCTTGTCACCTCCATGCCACTCAGATGTCCCTCAAGCCTTCTGGCCTCCTTCCCTCCAAGTGGACCCACAGATATTGTCCAAGCTGCCTACGTACATGGCTACCAAAAGTGGGTTACAAAACGAGCTTTCTGGCTGGGCGTGGTGGGTCACGCCTGTAATCCCAGCACTTTGGGAGGCCGAGGTGGGCGGCCTCGGCCATCCACAGTCAACCTGTCTCCTTGGATCTGGGCTGCTGTTTCTTTCACTTGTTTGTTGGTTTATTTTTTGGGACAGTCTCGCCTCGTCACCCAGGCTGGAGTGCAGTGGCGTGATCTTGGCTCACTACAACCTCCGCCTCCCAGGTTCAAGTGATTCTCCTGCCTCAGCCTCCCGAGTAGCTAGAATTACAGGCATGTGCCACCACGGCTGGCTAATTTTTGTATTTTTAGTAGAGACAGGGTTTCACCATATTGGTCAGGCTGGTCTTGAAAGCCTCACTTCAGGTGATCCACCCGCCTTGGCCTCCAAAAGTGCTGGGATTACAGACAGGAGCCACCGCGCCATGTCTTACTGTTTCTTTTTTTGTATTGTTTTGTTTTGTTTCTGAGACAGGGTCTGACTCTGTTGCCCAGGCTGGAGTGCAGTGGCACAATCTTGGCTCACTGCAGCCTTGACCTCCCGGGCTCAAGCAATCCTCCTGCCTCAGCTTCCTGAGTAGCTGGGACCACAGGCTTGTGCCACCATACCCAGCAAATTTTTAGACTTTTTGGTGGAATGGAGTCTCACTTTGTTGCCAGGGCTGGTCTTGAATCCCTGAGCTCAAGCAAACTTCCCATGTCAGCTTCCCAAAGTGCTAGGATTATAGGCCTGACCCACTGCACCTGGCCAGATGTACAACTTTCAAACCACTGAAGTAGCTTAAAATGAAAGGAAAAGAAAATGTAATCTATTTGGCAATGGTCGAAAAGCAAAGGAAAATGCAGCGAATCATAGAAAATAAAAGCAAAAAGCATCACACAATGACCTAAATAAAACCAAGCATATCAGTTATAACAACATTATGCAAATGTGTGAAACGTACTTGGGAACATCAACAAACAAAATTCAACTGTTTAGCTTTCAAAACACTTTCCAAAGATAACACCACCAAGTTTTAAAATAAAAGGATTAGAAATAGCTATCAGTCAAAAGCAGATACACAAAAATCAGGGCAAATCTGATATTAGAGAAAACCGGATTTAAAGCAGATAGCATTACTTTGGACAAAAGGAGTTATTTTCTATTGATAAAGTGTATGATCCAGAATGAAAAGTGATTGGATGGGTGCAGTGGCTCATGCCTGCAATCCCAGCACTTTGGAAGGCTGAGGCAGGTGGATCACTTGAGGTCGGCAGTTTGAGACCAGCCTGGCCGACATGGTGAAACCCCGTCTCTATTAAAAATACAAAAATTAGCTGGGCATAGTGGTGCATGCCTGTAATCTCAGCTACTCGGGAGGCTAAGGCTCAAGAATCACTTGAACCCAGGAGGTGGAGGTTGCAGTGAGCCCAGATTGTGCCAGTGCACTCCAGCCTGGGTGACAGGACAAGACTCTGTCTAAAAAAAAAAAAAAAAAGGCTGGGAGCGATGGCTCACGCCTGTAATCTCAGCAGTTTGGGAGGCCCAGGCAGACGGATTACTCAAGGTCAGGAGTTCAAAACTAGCCTGGCCAACATGGTGAAACCTGGCTCCACTAAAAATACAAAAAGCCAGGTGTGGTGTGTGCCTGTAATCCCAGCTACTCACGAGGCTGAGGCAGGAGAATCACTTGAACCTGGGAGGCAGAGGTTGCAGTGAGACACTGCACTCCAGCCTGGGTGACAGTGTGAGACTCCATCTCAAAAAAAAAAAAAAGTGATCATTTATTACACTATTAGAAACAAAAGGAAAAATACACAGAAACACAGTAGTGGTCATGGGTAATTTGAAACCACCATTATTCTTCAAATATCAAGTCTTTTAAAATGTGATATTTTGAATAATAGAATACAGTGAATTTAATATATATGCACACTCATTACATCTATATACACTCATGATTTTCAAGCATATATCAAACATTTGCAAAGACTCAATTTAAAAAATAAAAGGCCGAGCACGGTGGCTCACGTCTGTAATCCCAGCACTTTGGGAAGCCGAAGCGGGCAGATCACCTGAGGTCAGGAGTTCGAGACCAGCCTGGCTAACATGGTGAAACCCCGTTTCTACTAAAAATACAAAAATTAGCCGGGCATGGTGGCAGGCACCTGTAGTCCCAGCTACTTGGGAGGCTGATACAGGAGAATCACTTGAACTTAGGAGGCAGAGGTTGCAGTGAGCCGAGATCGCACCACTACACTCCAGCCTGGGCAACAGAACAAGACTCTGTCTCAAAAATAAAAAGGCTGGGTGAGGTGGCTCACGCCTGTAATCCCAGCACTTTGGCAGGCTGAGGTGGGCGGATCACAAGGTCAGGAGATCCAGACAATCCTGGCTAACACAGTGAAACCCCATCTCTACTAAAAATACAAAAATTAGCTGGGCATGGTGGCGTGTGCCTGTAGTCCCAGCTGCTGGGGAGACTGAGGCAGGAGAATGGTGTGAACCCAGGAGGCGGAGCTTGCAGTGAGCCAAGATTGCGCCACTGCACTCCAGACTGGGCAACAGAGCGAGACTCCATCTCAAAAAAAAGAAAAAAGAAAAGCGCCTCTGAGACCAGCTGAATAACATCAAGCAAACAAACATATGTATAATAGGACTCTGGGGAAAGGAGAGGAAGGAGAAAAATTTTTGAAGCATTAATGGCTGGAAACTTTTCAAACTTGGTGTAAACGTTAATTTACACAAACTCCAAGAAGTATAAATACAAAGAGAGCCATATCTAGATTCATCGTAGTAAATGTCAGGCCTTTGAGCTTAAGCTAAGCTATCATTATCTTTTGTGACTTGCACATACACATCTAGATGGCCGGTTCCTGCCTTAACTGATGACATTCCACCACAAAAGAAGAACCCCTCAACCCCTTCTCCTTCACCGTTAGTGGCAAGTCCCGCTTTTCTGGGGGAGGGGCAAGTACCCCAACCCCTTCTCTCCGTGTCTCTACCCCTTCTCTGCTTTTCTGAGTGGCAAGAACCCCTCAACCCCTTCTCCTTCACCCTTAGTAGCAAGTCCCGCTTTTCTGGAGGAGGGACAGGAACCCCGACCTCTTATCTCTGCACCCCGATCCCTTATTTCCATGCCCAGACCTCTTATCTCTGTGCCCCATCCCTTATTTCTGCACCCCAACCTCTTATCTCTGTGCCCCAACCCCTTCTCTGCTTTTCTGGAGGGCAAGAACCCCCCCACCCCTTCTCCATGTCTCTACTCTCTTTTCTCTGGGCTTGCCTCCTTCACTATGGGCAAGCTTCCACCTTCCATTCCTCCTTCTCCCTTAGCCTGTGTTCTTAAGATCTTAAAACCTCTTCAACTCTCACCTGATGTAAAATCTAAGCATCTAATTTTCTTCTGAAACGCCGCTTGACCCCCATACAAACTTGACAGTAGTTCCAAATAGCCAGAAAACAGCACTTTCAATTTTTCCATCCTACAAGATCTAAATAATTCTTATCATAAAATAGGCAAATGGTGTGAGGTGCCTGACATCCAGGCATTCTTTTACACATCAGGCTCTCCCTAGCCTCTGTTCCCAATGCAACTCGTCCCAAATCTTCCTTCTTTCCCTCCCACCTGTCCCCTCAGTCCCAACCCCAAGTGTCACTGAGTCTTTCTAATCTTCCTTTTCTACAGACCTATCTGACCTCTCCCCTCCTTGCTAGGCTGAGCTAGGTCCCAATTCTTCCTCAGCCTCCGCTCCTCCACCCTATAATCCTTTTATCGCCTCCCCTCCTCACACCCGGTCCCCCTTACAGTTTCGTTCCGTGACTAGCCCTTCCCCACCTGCCCAGCAATTTACTCTTAAAAAGGTGGCTGGAGCTAAAGGCATAGTCAAGGTTAATGCTCCTTTTCCTTTATCCCAAATCAGATAGTGTTTAGGCTCTTTTTCATCAAATATAAAAATCCAGCCCAGTTCATGGCTCGTTCGGCAGCAACCCTGAGACACTTTACAGCCCTAGACCCTAAAATGTCAAAAGGCCGTCTTATTCTCAATATACATTTTATTACCCAATCTGCTCCCGACATTAAATAAAACTCCAAAAATTAAATTCCGGCCCTCAAACCCCACAACAGGACTTAATTAACCTCGCCTTCAAGGTGTACAATAATAGAGGCAGCCAAGTAGCAACATATTTCTGAGTTGCAATTCCTTGCCTCCACTGTGAGACAAACCTCAGCCACATCTCCAGCACAAAAGAACCTCCAAACGCCTAAACCGCAGTGGCCAGGCGTTCCTCCAGAACCGCCTCCCCCAGGAGCTTGCTACAAGTGCCAGAAATCTGGCCACCAGGCCAAGGAATGCCCGCAGCCCAGGATTCCTCCTAAGCCGTGTCCCATCTGTGCAGGACCCCACTGGAAATCGGACTGTCCAACTCACCTGGCAGCCACTCCCAGAGCCCCTGGAACTCTGGCCCAAGGCTCTCTGACTGACTCCTTCCCAGATCTTCTCGGCTTAGCAGCTGAAGACTGATGCTGCCCGATTGCCTCGGAAGCCCCGTAGACCATCACGGACACCAAGCTTTAAGTAACTCTCACAGTGGAAGGTAAGTCCGTCCCCTTCTTAATCAATACGGAGGCTACCCACTCCACATTACCTTCTTTTCAAAGGCCTGTTTCCCTTGCCTCCATAACTGTAGTGGGTATTGACAGCCAGGCTTCTAAACCTCTTAAAACTCCCCAACTCTGGTGCCAACTTAGACAATATTCTTTTATGCACTCCTTTTAGTTATCTCCACCTGCCCAGTTCCCTAATTAGGCCGAGACACTTCAAATTATCTGCTTCCCTGACTATTCCTGGATTACAGCTGCATCTCATTGCCGCCCTTCTTCCCAATCCAAAGCCTCCTTTGCATCCTCCTCTTGTATCCCCCCACCTTAACCCAAAGGTATAAGATACCTCTACTCCCTCCTTGGCGACCAATCATGCACCCCTTACCATCTCATTAAAATCTAATCACCCTTACCCCGCTCAATGCCAATATCCCATCCCACAGCATGCTTTGAAAGGATTAAAGCCTGTTATCACTCGCCTGTTACAGCATGGCCTTTTAAAGCCTATAAACTCTCCTTACAATTCCCCCATTTTACCTGTCCTAAAACCAGACAAGACTTACAGGTTAATTCAGGATCTGCGCCTTATCAA
This sequence comes from Homo sapiens, assembly GCF_000001405.40. Taxonomy (NCBI): domain Eukaryota; kingdom Metazoa; phylum Chordata; class Mammalia; order Primates; family Hominidae; genus Homo; species Homo sapiens. The sequence continues at coordinate 162,367 of NW_014040929.1, forward strand.
CCAAATTGTTTTGCCTATCCACCCTGTGGTGCCAAACCCATATACTCTCCTATCCTCAGTACCTCCCTCCACAATCCATTATTCTGTTCTGGACCTCAAACATGCTTTCTTTCCTATTCCTTTGCACCTGTCATCCCAGCCTCTCTTTGCTTTCACTTGGACTGACCCTGACACCAATCAGGCTCAGCAAATTACCTGGGCTGTACTGCCTCAAGGCTTCACAGACAGACCCCATTACTTCAGTCAAGCCCAAATTTCATCCTCATCTGTTACCTATCTTGGCATAATTCTCATAAAAACACACGTGCTCTCCCTGCTGCTTGTGTCCGATTAATCTCCCAAACCTCGATCCCTTACAAAACAACAACTCCTTTCCTTCCTAGGCATGGTTAGTTCGGTCAGAATTATTACACAAGAGCCAGGACCGCACCCTGTAGCCTTTCTGCCCAAACAACTTGACCTTACTGTTTTAGCCTAGCCCTCATGTCTCCGTGCAGCGGCTGCCGCTGCTTTAACACTTTTAGAGGCCCTCAAAATCACAAACTATGCTCAACTCACTCTCTACAGCTCTCATAATTTCCAAAATCTATTTTCTTCCTCACACCTGACGCATATACTTTCTGCTCCCTGGCTCCTTCAGCTGTACTCACTCTTTGTTAAGTCCCACAATGACCATTGTTCCTGGCCCGGACTTCAATCCGGCCTCCCACATTATTCCAGATACCACACCTGACCCCCATGACGGCATCTCTCTGATCCACCTGACATTCATCCCATTTCCCCACATTTCCTTCTTCCCTGTTCCTCACCCTGATCACGCTTGATTTATTGATGGCAGTTCCACCAGGCCTAATCGCCACACACCAGCAAAGGCAGGCTATGCTATAGTACAAGCCACTAGCCTGCCTCTTAGAACCTCTCACTTCCTTTCCATTGTGGAAATCTATCTTCAAAGAAATAAATTCTCAGTGTTCCATCTGCTATTCTACTACTCCTCATGGATTATTCAAGCCCCCTCCCTTCCCTACACATCAACTCGAGGATTTGCCCCCACCCAGGACTGGCAAATTAGCTTTACTCAACATGCCCCGAGTAAGATAACTAAAACACCTCTTAGTCTAGGTAGACACTTTCACTGGATAAGTAGAGTCCTTTCCTACAGGGTCTGAGAAGGCCACCACAGTCATTTCTTCCCTTCTGTCAGACATAATTCTTCAGTTTAGCCTTATCATTCCCTTCTGTCAGACGTAATTCCTCAATTTAGCCTTCCCACCTCTATACAGTCTGATAACAGACCAGCCTTTATTTGTCAAATCAGCCAAGCATTTTTTCAGGCTCTTAGTATTCAGTGACAGACTAAAACACACCTCACCAACCTCAGCCACCAACTTAAAAAGGACTGGACAATATTTTTACCACTTTCGCTTCTCAGAATTCAGGCCTGTCCTCAGAATGCTACAAGATACAGCCCATTTAAGTTCCTGTATAGACACTCCTTTTTATTAGGCCCCAGTCTCATTCCAGACACCAGACCAACTTAGACTGTGCCCCCAAATAACTTGTCATCCCTACTATCTTCTGTCTAGTCATACTCCTATTCACCGTTCTCAACTACTCATGCATGCCCTGCTCTTGTTTACACTGCCAGTTTACACAGTTTCTCCAAGCCATCACAGCTGATATCTCCTCGTGCTATCCCCAAACTGCCACTCTTAACTCTTGAAGTAAATAAATAATCTTTGCTGGCAAGGCTATGCTGAACCTCCTTAGGCACTCTCTAATTAGATGTCCTAGGTCCTCCCAATTCTTAGTCCTTTAATACCTGTTTTTCTCCTTCTCTTATTCCGTTTAGTTTTTCAATTCATACAAAACCGTATCCAGGCCATCACCAATCATTCTACACGACAAATGTTTCTTCTAACAACCCCACAATATCACCCTTTACCACAAAATCTTCCTTCAGCTTAATCTCTCCCACTCTAAGTTCCCACGCCGCCCCTAATACCGCTGGAAGCAGCCCTAAGAAACATCACCCATTATCTCTCCATACCACCCCCAAAAATTTTCACTGTCCCAACACTTTACTACTATTTCATTTTATTTTTCTTAATATAAGAAGACAGGAATGTCAGGCCTCTGAGCCCAAGCTAAGCCATCATATCCCCTGTGACCTGCACGTACACATCTAGATGGCCGGTTCCTGCCTTAACTGATGACATTCCACCACAAAAGAAGTGAAAATGGCCTGTTCTTGCCTTAACTGATGACATTGTCTTGTCAAATTCCTTCTCCTGGCTCATCCTGGTTCAAAAGCTCCCCTACTGAGCATCTTGTGACCCCCACTCTGCCCTCCAGAGAACCCCCCTTTGACTATAATTTTCCTTTATCTACCCAAATCCTATAAAAACAGCCCCGCCCTTATCTCCCTTCGCTGACTCTTTTCAGACTCAGCCCGCCTGCACCCAGGTGAAATAAACAGTTTTATTGCTTACACAAAGCCTGTTTGGTGGTCTCTTCACACGGACGCGAGTGAAAGTAAAACTGCTGAAAACAATTCAAAAAGGGCATTTTTTTTTTTTTTTGAGGCAGAGTCTCACTCTGTCGCCCAGGCTGGAGTGCAGTGGCACAATCTCGGCTCACTATAAGCTCCATCTCCCGGGTTCACACCATTCTCCTGCCTCAGCCTCCCGAGTAGCTGGGACTACAGGCACCCACCACCACGCCTGGCTAATTTTCTGTATTTTTAGTAGAGACGGGGTTTCACCGTGTTAGCCAGGATGTTCTCGATCTCCTGACCTCGTGATCCACCCTCCTTGGCCTCCCAAAGTGCTGGGATTACAGGCGTGAGCCACCGTGCCAGGAAAATGGAAAATTTTAAAGGAGCAAGTGAAAAACAGCTCATTATGTACAGGGGAACAATAGAATTAATGGCTAGATTCTCCTAGGAACAATGGAGGCCAGAAGGCAGATGAATGATTTATTCAAAACACTGAAAGAAAAATAAAACTGTCAACTGATAATTCTATATTCAACAAAACTATACTTCAAAACAAAAGGCAAAAGAAAATCATTCCCAGATAAACAAAAAGAGAATTCCTGACTAGCATATACCTAAACGCAGGGAATACTCAAGGAAACCCCTCACACTGAAAATGACAGTAGACAGAAACTCAAATCCACAGGAAGAAATGAAGAGCCCCAGAAATGTATTTTTCTTTTCTTCTTTTAATTTATTTTAAAACATAAGGTCAGGCTGGGCACGGTGGCCCACGCCTATAATCCCAGCACTTTGGGAGGCCGAGGCAGGCAGATCATGAGGTCAAGAGATCGAGACCATCCTGGCTAATGTGGTGAAACCCCGTCTCTACTAAAAATACAAAAAAAATTAGCCGGGTGTGGTGGCGGGTGCCTGTAGTCCCAGCTACTCGGAAGGCTGAGGCAGGAGAATGGCGTGAACCTGGGAGGCGGAGCTTGCAGTGAGCTGAGATTGCACCACTGCACTCCAGGCTGGGCGACAGAGCAAGACTCCATCTCAAAAAAAAAAAAAAAAAAAAGAAAAAAACCATATAAGGCCGGGTATGGTGGCTCAAACCTGTAATCCCAGCACTTTGAGGCCAAGGTGGGTGGATTGCTTGAGCTCAGGAATTCAAGACCAGCCTGGGCAACATGGTGAAACCCCATCTCTACCCAAAATACAAAAATTAGCCAGGCATGGTGGTGCAAACCTATAGTCCAGTCCCAGCTGTTCAGGAGGCTGAGGTGGGCGTATTGCTGGAGCCTGGGAGGTCGGAGCTGCAGTGAGCTGTGATTGTGCCACTGCACTCTGGCCTGTGTGACAGAGCAAGACTCTGTCTCAAAATAAATAGACAGACAAATAAATAAAATTGTAAAAAATATATATATATAAAATTGTTTAAAGTAAAGGTTATGCCAGGCACAGTGGCTCATGCCTGTAATCCCAGCACTTTGGGAGGCCAAGGACAGTGGATCATCCGAGGTCAGGAGTTAAAGACCAGCCTGGCCAACATGGCAAGACCCTGTCTCTACTAAAAATATAAAAATTAGCTGGGAATGGTGGCAGGCACCTGTAATCCCAGCCACTCGGGAGACTGAGGCAGGATAATCGCTTGAACCTGGGAGGCAGAGGTTGCGGTGAGCCAAGATCATGCCATTGCACTCCAGCCTGGGCTACAAGAGCGAAACTCCATCTAAATAAATAAATAAATAAATAAATAAATAAATAAATAAAGGAAAGGTTATAAGGCCGGGCATGGTTGCTTACGCCTGTAATCCCAGCACTTTGGGAGGCCGAGGCGGTGGATCATGTGAGGTCAGGAATATGAGACCAGCATGGTCAACATGGTGAAACCCTGTCTCTACAAAAATACAAACTTAACCAGGCATGATGGTGGCTGCCTGTAGTCCGAGGTACTCAGGAGGCTGAGGCAGGAGAATGGCTTGAACCCAGGTGGTGGAGGTTGCAGTGAGCCAAGATCACGCCATTGCACTCCAGCCTGGGCGACAGAGCAAGACTCCATCTCAAATAAATAAAAATAAATAAATAAAATACAAAAAATTAGCTGGGTGTGATGGTGCACGCGTTTAGTCCCAGCTACTCAGGAGGCTGAGACAGCAGAATGGCTTGAACCTGAAAGGTGGAGGTTGCAGTGAGCTGAGATCATGCCATTGCGCTCCAGAGCGAGACTCTGTCTCAAAAACAACAACAACAAAAAAACGCGAGGCACAGTGGCTCACGCCTGTAATCCCAGCACCTTGGGAGGCTGAGGTGGGGGGGATCACCTGAGGTCAGTTCAAGACCAGCCTGGCCAACATGGAAACCCCATCTCTACTAAAAATACAAAAATTAGCCGGGCATGGTGGCGGGTGCCTGTAATCCCAGCTACTTGGGAGGCTGAGGCAGGAGAATCACTTTAACCCAGGAAGCAGAGGTTGCAGTGAGCCAAGATCGCGCCACTGCACTCCAGCCTGGGTGGCAGACTGAGACTCCATCTCAAAAAAAAAAAAAAAAAAAAACCCAGTTATATAGCACTGTATTTTTTTAGAGACATGATCTTGCTCTGTCACTCAGGTTGGAGTGCAGTGGCATGATCATAACCCATTGTAACCTCAGACTCCCAGTCTCAAGCAATCCCCCTGCCTCATCCTCCCTAGTAGCTGGGACCACAGGTATACACCACCACACCTGGATAATTTTTGATTTTTTTTTTTTTTTGTAGAGACAGGGTCTCACTATGTTGCCCAGGCTGGTCTCAAACTCCTGGCCTCTAGCAATCATCCCACCTCGGCCTCCCAAAATGCTGGGATTCCAGGCGTGAGCCACCACACCTGGCCTGTATCCCTGACTAGGTGACATACACAGTCGGGTGCTGCATCACCACGTTTCAGTCAGTGATGGACTGCACATGCGACAATGTCCCATAAAATTACAACGAAGCCGGACTCCTATCACCTAGTGATGCTGCAGCCATCACAATGCTGTAGCACAATTACTTTATTTTTTTAAATTTAGGGTAGCCTAAGAGTACAGTGCTTATAAAGTCTACAGGAGTGTACAGTGCTGTCCTAGCCTTCACATTCACTCACCACTCACTCACTCACACCTGGAGCAACTTCCGGTCCTGCAAGCTCCATTCCTGGTAAGTGTCCCATACAGGCGTACCATTTGTCATCTTTTATTTATTTTTCTGAGATGGAGTCTCACTCTCTCACCCAGGCTGGAGTGCAGTGGCATGATCTCCGCTCACTGCAACCTCCATCTCCCAGGTTCAAGTGATCCTCCTGCCTCAACCTCCCAAATAGCTGGGATTACAGGCGTGCACCACCACACCTGGCTAACTTCTTTGTATTTTTTTTTTTTTTCAGCCAGAGTCTCTATCTGTTGTCCAGGTTGGAGTGCAGTGGCATGATCTTGGCTCACTGCAACCCCCGCCTCCCGGGTTCAAGCGATTCTCCTGCCTCAGCCTCCCAAGCAGCTGGGATTACAGGCACGTGCCACCATGCCTGGCTAATTTTTGTGTTTTTAGTAGAGATGGGGTTTCACCATGCTGGTCCTGCTGGTCTCAAACTCCTGACCTCGTGATCCGCCCACCTCAGCTCCCAAAGTGCTGGGATTACATGCGTGAGCCACCGTGCCTGGCCTAAACTTCTTTGTATTTTTAGCAGAGACGAGGTTTCACCATGTTGGCCAGGCTGGTTTCGAACTCCTGACCTCAAGTGATCTGCCCACCTCAGCTTCCCAAAGTGCTAGGATTACAGGCATGAACTACTGCTCCTGGCCCATTTTCCATCTTTTATACCATAGTTTTACTGTACCTTTTTTATGTTCAGATATGTTTATATACACAAATACTTACCATTGTGTTACAATTGCCCACTGTGTTCAGTACAGTTAAATGCTGTGCATGCTTGTAGCCTATGAGCTGTAGGTTACTTTATATAGCCTAGGTGTGGGGTAGGCTGTACCATCTACGTTTGCATAAGTCACTCTATGATGTTCACACCCTGACGAAATTGCCTAACCATGCATTTCTTAGAACTTAAGACCGTATAGATGACCATATAGAAAACCAGAGACTGGGCCAGGTGTGGTGGCTCACACCTGTAATCCCAGCACTTTGGGAGGCCGAGGTGGGTGGATCACCTGAGGTCTGGAGTTGGAGACCAGCCTGGCCAACATGGTGAAACCCTGTCTCTATTAAAAATGCAAAAAATTAGCCGGGACTGGTGGTGGGCACCTATAATCCCAGATACTCAGGAGGCTGAGGCAGGAGAATCACTTGAATCCAAGAGGCAAAGATCGCACCATTGCACTCCAGCGCCTGGACCACAAGAGTGAAACTCCGTCTCAAAAAAAAAAAAAAAAAGGAACCGGGAAGGTCATGAAAGGAGCGTGCTCATGCACAAATGCCTGATAGGAACGATTGCGGAAGACTCTCCAAAAACCACAACCTCGCACAAAGTCCACTGCAACGTTACACAGAAAGTACTTTTGTCCAGTAACTGCCTGTCCAACCTTGGACTGATGCCACCCTTGTTTCAAGTCTCGTAGCCAAGGATAATTGATTCAAAACACTTTATGTAATCCTCCTCATTTTGCCTTTGAAAACTTCCCCTTGGCTGGGCATGGTGGCTCACACCTGTAATCCAAGCACTTTGGGAGGCTGACCCAGGCAGACCCCTAGAGTCCAGGAGTTTGAGATCGGCCTGGGCAATATGGTGAAACTCTGTCTCTAGAAAAGATACAAAAATTAGCTGGGCATGGTGGTGTGCGACTGTATTCCCAGCTACTCAGGAGGCTGAGGTGGGAGGATGGCTTGAGGACGGGAAGCGGGGGTTGCAGTGAGCCGAGATTGCACCACTGTTCTCCAACCTGGGCAACAGATCGAGATCTTGTCTCAAAATAATAATAATAATAATTATTATTGTTATTATTATTTAAAAATTTAAAACTTCGCCTTGCCTCAATCTCCTCTTTTTTTTTTTTTTTTTAAGATAAGGAGAGGCCAGCTATGCAGTGGCTCACACCTGTAATCCCAATACTTTGGGAGGCCAAGACGGGCAGATCACAAGATCAGGAGTTTGAGACCAGCCTGGCCAATATGGTGAATCCCCAACTCTACTAAAAATACAAATTAGCTGGGTGTGGTGGCAGGCACCTGTAGTCCCAGCTACTCGGGAGGCTGAGGCAGGAGAATCACTTGAACCAGGTTGCAGTGAGCTGAGATCACACCACTGCACACCAGCCTGGGCAATAGAGAGAGACTCCATCTAAAAAAAAAAACACACACAAAAAAAGAGAGAGACATAGGATTGGGCCGGGCACAGTGGCTCACGCCTGTAATCCTAGCATGTTAGGAGGCTTAGGCAGGTGGACCACCTGAGGTCTGGAGTTTCAGACCAGCCCAGTTAACATGGCAAAACCCCATCTCTACTGAAAATACAAAAATTAGCCAGGTGTGGTGGCACCTGCCTTTAGTCCCAACTACTTGGAGGCTGAGGCAGGAGAATCACTTGAACCCAGGAGGCAGAGGTTGCAGTGAGCTGATTGCATCAGTGCACTCCAGCCTGGATGAGAGAGACTCCATCTCAAAAAAAAAAGAAGAAGAAGAAAGAAAGAAAGAAGGAAGGAAGGGAGGGAGGGAGGGAGGGAGGGAGGGAGGGTGGGAGGGAAAGAAATTATTATGTGAGATAAGACAGGTGGATCTCGTGAGCCCAGGAGTTTGAGGCCATCCTGGGCAACATAATGAGACCCCCATCTCTATTAGAAAATAATAATAGTAAAAATAAAAAATAATTTAAAAAGTATTACTTCTAACTATAATGGAACTAAGCTAAAAGCCAACAATAAAATGAAATTTAGAAAATCTCTAAATATAAGAAAACTAAACAACATACTTGTAGATGACCTATGTGTCAAAGAAGGAATCTGGCTAGGTGTGGTGGCTCATGCCTATAATCCCAGCCAAGGGAGGCCAAGGCCAGTGGATCACCTTAGATCAGGAGTTCGAGACCAGCCTGGCCAACACGGTGAAACCGTGTCTCTACTAAAAAATACAAACATTAGCTGGGCGTGGTGGCTCATGCCTGTAGTCCCAGCTACTTGATAGGCTGAGGCAGGAGGATTGCTTGAACCTGGGAGGTGGAGGTTGTGGTGAGCTGAGATCACGCCACTGTACTCCAGCCTGGGTGACAGAGTGAGACTCCATCTAAAAAAAAAAAAAAAAAAAATCAAAAATGAATTTAGAAAATACCTTGAGCTGAATAAAAACAAAAACACAGGAAATAAAAATGTACAGGATGCTGGCAATGTAGTAATTAGCGGGAAACTTATAGCTTAAAAAACATATTAGTGTTGAGTCAGCCTGGTGAAAATTTTAAAAACCCCAACACATTAGAATGGAAAGAAGGCCTAAAATCAATAATTTAGGCTTCCACCTCCAAAGCTAGAAAAAGAAGAGTAAATCAAACTCAAAGAAAATAGTAAGAAGGAAGTAATAAAGATCTAAATGGACAGCAATGAAACAGAAATATAAAAACAATAGAGAAAAAGCAATGAAACTGAAATTGGCTCATTGAAAACATCAACAAAACCGGTATTGAAAAGATTAACAGGCCAGGTGTGGTGGCTCACACCTGTAATCCCAGCAGTTTGAGAGGCCAAGGTGGGTAGATCACTTGAGGTCAGGCGTTCGAGACCAGCCCGGTCGACATGGAGAAACCCTGTCTCTACTAACAATACAAAAATTAACTGGGCATGGTGGCACACACCTGTAATCCCAGCTGGAGGCTGAGACAGGAGAATCACTTGAACCCAAGAGGCCGAGGTTGCAGTGAGTCGAGATCATGCCACTGTACTCCAGCCTGGGTGACAGAGTGAGACTCTTGTCTCAAAAAAAGAAAAGATCAGCAAAACTGGGCCGGGTGCAGTGGTTCCCACCTGTAATCCCAGCACTTTGGAAGGCCGAGGCAGGTGGATCACCTGAGATCAAGAATTCAAGACCAGCCTGGCCAACATGGTGAAACCCCGTCCCTACTAAAAATACAAAAATTGGTGGGGCATGGTGGTGGGCACCTGTAATCCCAGCTACTCAGGAGGCTGAGGCAGGAGAATCGCTTGAATCCGGAGGTGGAGGTTGATGTGAGCCGAGATCACACCACTGCACTCCAGCCTTTGGCGACAGAGTGAAACTCTGTCTCAAAAACAAACAAACAAACAAACAAACTAGTATACTGGTTTTCAATGAAATCAGTTAGCTCATTAAAAAGTTCAACAAAAGAGTAAGAAAAATAAAAAAGACAGAAGCCCTCAATTACCAAAAGCAAGAATGAAGGAGGGAAAAACACTAACATGGTACACAAATTTTAAAAAATCACAGGGGAATATTATGAACAGATTTAGGTCAACTAATTAGGCAATTTAAATGAAATGAACAAATCCCTAGAGAGACACAAATTACCAAAACTGACTCAAGAACAAAATAGAAACACAGATACAATTTTTGTACAAGTATCCATTGAAATGTATTGAAAAATGAAAATGACATAGAATAAACAAAACAATTTTGAGAAAGGAGAACAAAGTTGCAAGGCATATAATGTGACTTTAAGACTCACTATTCACTTTGGGAGGTCAAGGTGGGTGGATGGCTTGAGCCCAGGAATTCCAGACCAGCCTGGGCAACATGGCGAGACCATGTCTCTCCAAAAAATACAGAAATTAACTGGGTGTGGTGGCATGTGCCTGTAGTCCCAGCTACTTAGGAGGGTGAGCCCAGGAGGTTGAAACCACAGTGAACTGTGATCGCACCACTGCACTCCAGCTTGGGAAACAAAGTGAGAATCTGTCTCAAAAAAAAAAAAAAAAGAAGAAGAAGAAGCCAGGCGCAGTGGCTCATGCTTGTAATGCCAGCACTTTGGGAGGCCGAGGTGGGCAGATCACCTGAGGTCAGGAGTTCGAGACCAGCCTGACCAACATGGTGAAATCCCATCTCTACTAAAACTACAAAAATTAGCTGGGCATGGTGGCAGGCACCTGTAATCCCAGCACTCAGGAGGCTGAGGCAGGAGAATTGCTTGAACTCAGGAGGCAGAGGTTGCAGTGAGCTGAGATTGTGCCATTGCACTCCAGCCTGGGTGACAGAGAGAGACTCCGTCTTTTTTAAAGGAAAAAAAAAAAAAAGGCCAGGCGCAGTGGCTCACGTCTGTAATCTCAGCACTTTGGGAGGCCGAGGCAGGTGGATCACAAGGTCAGGAGTTAAGAGACCAGCCTGGCTAACACGGTGAAACCCCGTCTCTACTAAACATACAAAAAAATTAGCCGGGCGTGGTGGTGGGTGCCTGTAGTCCCAGCTACTCTGGAGGCTGAGGCAGGAGAATGGCGTGAACCCAGGAGGCGGAGCTTGCAGTGAGCAGAGATCACGCCACTGCACTCCAGCCTGGGCGACAAAGTAAGACTCCGTCTCAAAAAAAAAAAAAAAAAAAAAAAGAGAGAAAGACTCACTATAAAGCTACAGTAATCAGGAATATGCTATCATGATAAGGATAGATATATAAATCAAGGAATCAGAAGAATGATTAAGTCCAGATTTAAAACAACAAAAATGGTCAATTAATTTTTAACAAAATTGCCAATATAATTCAATGAGGAGAAAAAACAGTCACTTCAACAAATGGTGCTGAAATAACTGGACATCTATAGAGTGAGAAAAGAACCTTGACCCTTAACTCATACCACACACAAAAATTAACTAAAAATAACTAAAAATTAACTAGAAATAATATATTAACTAATGAGACAAAAATTAACTAAAGTTAGGCCGAGTGCTGTGACTCACGCCTGTAATCCCAGCACTTTGGGAGACCAAGGCGGGTGGATCACCTGAAGTCAGGAATTCAAGAACAGCCTGGCCAACATGGTGAAACCCTGTCTCTACTAAAAATACAAAAATTAGCCGGGCGTGGTGGCGGGTGCCTGTAATCCCAGATACTCAGTAGACTGAGGCAGGAGAATCGCTTGAACCCGGGAGGTGGAGATTGCAGTGAGCCGAGATCACGCCATTGCACTCCAGCCTGGTTGACAAGAGTGAATTTCCATCTCAAAAAAAAAAAAAATTAACTAAGGTTTAAAAACTAAACTTAAATGCTAAAACTATAAACCTTCTACAATAAAATGTAAAAAGAAATCTTTGTGACAAATGTTTCTCACGAAGATTTCTTAAGCAAAGATTTAAGTAGGTCACAAAAGCACACTACATAACAGAAAAAATAACTGATAAAATGAACGCCATCACGATTAGACTTTTGTTTTGAGGAAGACATCTTTAAGAAAATAAAAAGGCTCGGTCAGGCGTGGGGGCTCACCTCTGTAATCCCAGCAGTTTGAGAGGCCGAGGTGGGTGGATCACCTGAGGTCAGGAGTTCCAGACCAGCCTGGCCAACATGATGAAACCCCATCTCTACTAAAAATACAAAAATTAGCCAGGCATGGTGGCAGGTGCCTGTAATCCCAGCTACTTGGGAGGCTGAGGCAGGAGAATCACTTGAACCTGGGAGGAGGGGGTTGCAGTGAACTGAGATTGTGCCACTGCACGCCAGCCTGAGCGACAGAGAGAGACTCTGTCTCAAAAAATAAAATAAACTAAAAATAAAGAAAATGAAAAGGCTAGCCGGGCACGGTGGCTCACACCTGTAATCCCAGCACTTTGGGAGGCCAAGGTGGGTGGATCACCTGAGGTCAGGAGTTTGAGATCAGCCTGGCCAATGTGGTGACAACCCGTCTCTACTAAAAATACAAAAATTGGCTAGCGTGGTGGCGGGCGCCTGTAATCCCAGCTACTCTGGAGGCTGAGGCAGGAGAATTGCTTGAACCTGGGAGGTGGAGGTTGCAGTGAGCCGAGATCCTGCCATTGTACTGCAGCGTGGGCAACAAGAGCAAAACTCCGTCTCAAAAAAAAAAAAAAAAAGAAAAAAAGAAAAGAAAATGAAAAGGCTAACCACAGAAGGAGAGAAAATATTCATATTACATATATTTGACAAAGGAAATATCCAGAAAATATGAAAAGCTCTTGCAACTCAATAAGAAGAAAATAAACAATCCAATTGAAAATGAGCAAAAGATTTGAACAGGCGATTCACAAGAGAGGATATCGAATGGCCACAGGCATGTCAAATAATGGTCAAGAACATTAAAGGAAAATGCAAATGGAAACAGCAATGAAATATCAATAAACATCCACTAGAATGGATAAAATTAAAACAAACAAAAAAACCCCAAAACCTGACAATACCAAGTATTGATAAGGATAAAGCTTAGCTGAAATGTTCATATACTGAAGGTTGGGAGTATAGAGTGGTTCAATCATACTGAAAAATAGTTTGGCCATTTCTTTCTTTTTTTCCTGAGCAGATCACAAACTTGAAGTGTTTTTTGTTGTTGTTCATTTTGTTTTTTGTTTTGTTTTGTTTTGGAGACGGAGTTTTGCTCTGTCGCCCAGGCTGGAGTGCAATGGCATGATCTCGGTTCACTGCAACCTCCGCCTCCCGGGTTCAGGCGATTCTCCTGCCTCAGCCTCCCGAGGAGCTGGGAATACAGGCACCTGCCACCACACCTGGCTAATTTTTGTATTTTTAGTAGAGACGAGGTTTCATCATGTTAGTCAGGCTGGTCTCAAACTCCTGACCTCAGATTATCCACCTGCCTCAGTCTCCCAAAGTGCTGGGATTACAGGCATGAGCCGCCACGCCCGACCTGAAATTTCTTATAAAGGTAAGCATATTGGGCAGGGCACAGGGGCTCATGCCTGTAACCACACCATTTTGGGAGGCTGAGGCAGGAGGATTGCTTGAGCCCAGGAGTTTGAGACCAGCCTGGAGAATACAGTGAGACCTTGCCTCTAAAAAAAATTTAAAAATTAGGCTGGGCGTGGTGGCTCATGCCTGTAATCCCAGCACTTTGGGAGGCCGAAGCAGGTGGATAACCTGAGGTCAGCAATTCAAGACCAGCCTGGCCAATATGATGAAACCCTGCCTCTACTAAACATACAAACAATTAGTCGGGCATGGTGGCACACGTCTGTAATCCCAGCTACTCGGGAAGCTGAGGCACAAGAATCGCTTGAACTCAGGAAGTGGAGGTTGCAGTGAACAGAGATCGCGTCATTGCACTCCAGCCTGGGTGACAGAGTGGAACTCCATCTCAAAAATAAATAAATAAATAAATAAATAAATAAATAAATAAATAAATAAAATCAAATAAAAATTATCTATGCATAGTGGCATACACCCATAGTCCCAGCTGCTCTAGAGGCTGAGGCAGGAGGATTGCTTGAGCCAAGGTGGAGGCTGCAGTGAGCTATGGTGGTGCCACTGCACTCCAGCCTCAGTGACAGAGGGAGACCCTGGCTCAAATAATAATAATAATAAATAAATAAACTTAAACATACACTTATATGACACAGCAACTCAACTCCTGGGTATTTACCCAAAAGAAATCAAAACATCAGCCCACAAAAAGACTTTTCATACAATCTTTATTCATAAACATCCACACTGGAAACAACTCACGTGTACATCAACAGGTGAACAGATCAGCAAACTCAGGTTCACACAATGGATTACAACCCAAAGAAATGAACTGCATGAAGAAAACACACGAATGAACTTAAACATTATGTGCGCTAAGCAGAAGTAGCCAGACTTTTACAAAAAGAGTACTATACTTTTCTACCCAGATTTATTTATTTATTTATTTATTTAGAGAAGGAGTTTCGCTCTTGTCCCCCAGGCTGGAGTGCAGTGACGTGATCTCGACTCACTGCAACCTCCACCTCCCAGGTTCAAGCGATTCTCCTGCCTCAGCCTCCCGAGTAGCTGGGACTAGAGGCATGCGACACCATGCCCAAATAATTTTTCTATTTTCAGTAGAGACAGGTTTCACCATGTTGGCCAGGCTGGTCTTGAACTCCTGACCTCAGGTGATCCACCCACCTCAGCCTCCCAAAGTACTGGAATTATAGGAGAGGGCCACCGCGCCCAGCCTCCACCAAGTTTTAGAGCAGGAAAAACTAATTTATGAAGCTTGAGAGTGGATCAGTGGTCACCACCCAGGTGCCAGGGGTGTGGCTGGGAGGGGTGATGGAAATCTCATAAGTAGACTCTACCTTGATCATGGTGGCCACACAATGGGATGTGTTTGTCTAAATTCACGGAAATGTACACTTTTTAAAATTTTTTTTATTTACTTATTTATTTTTTTGAGATGGTGTCTTGCTCTGTTGCCCAGGCTGGAGTGCAGTGGCACCATCTCGGGTCGCTGCAACCTCTGCCTCCCAGGTTCAAGCGATCCTCCTGCCTCAGCCCCCATAGTAGCTGGGATTACAGGCATGCGCCACCATGCCCAGCTAATTTTTGTATTTTTAGTAGAGATGGGGTTTCACCATGTTGGCCAGGCTGGTCTCGAACTCCTGACCTCAGGTGATCCACCTGCTTCGGCATTCCAAAGTGCTGGGATTACAGGCGTGAGCCACCCCACCCAGCCAAAACTGTACACTTTAAAAGGAAGAATTTTACTGTGTATAAATGACATCTCAATGAAGTTGATATTAAAAACACCAAGGCTAGGTGAGGTGGCTCACGCCTCTGTTCCTAGCACTTTGGGAGGCTGAGGCAGCAGGATTGCTTGAGTCCAGGAGTTCCTACTGTGTCTAGCCACTGTGCCAACCCTTCCTTGAGTTCCCAATTGGGAAACTTCCCAATGAGGAATTTGATGCCTACAGAGGTTGAGTGACCCTGTCCTTAAAAAAAAATTTTTTTTTTTAATTAGCCAGGAACGGTGGTGCGTGCCTGTAGTCCCAGGTACTCTGGAGGCTGAGTCAGGAGGATCGCTTGAGCCTTGGAGGTCGAGGCTTCAGTGAGCTGGGATCATGCCCCTATGCTCCAGCCTGGGTGAGACAGAGCAAGACGTTGTCTTTGAAAATATATAAAAAGTGGCTGGGTGCAGTGGCTCACATCTGTAATCCCTGCACTTTGGGAGGCTGAGGTGGGTGGATCACCTGAGGTCAGGAGTTCAAGACCAGCCTGACCAACATGGTGAAACCCCATTTCTACTAAAAATACAAAAATTAGCTGGGCATGGTGGCACACACCTGTAATCCCAACTACTCGGGAGGCTGAGACAGGAGAATCGCTTGAACCCAAGAAGTGGAGGTTGCAGTGAGCCAAGATTGCGCCACTGCATTCCAGCCTGGGCAATAGAGCGAGACTCTGTCTCAAAAAAAAAAAAAAACAAAAACGGATATATATATATATATGTATATACATATATACACACACATATACATATATACATATACACAAACACACACACACGCGCACACACACACACACACACACACACACACACACACACATGTATAAAGTAATAAATGAAAGCAAACAAAATGTAATTTCCAGAGGCTAAGACCCCAAGGAGAGGAATCGCATTCACTTGGGTCCACCATCTACTTGATGTGTGATCTTAAACCAATTCACTCAACCTTCGTGGGCACCAAATTCCTCATTAGGAAACTATGCATAGAGGATCTCCTTCAGAAGGTTGTTTCGGGGATTGAAGGAATGGTTAGCGCAGCGGCTACACATAGTAGGAACTCAGGGAATGCTGCTGGGACTCACGTTCCTAAGCCATGAAAACGGTCCAGTGGGTGGAGGGTGCTACCATTTATGCATGGAGGGGAAGAAACTACCCGTGCATATGTGCAGAGGTCCACAGGGGATTTTCTGAAAGATACACATGAAATGAAGACCAGGGAAACAGCAGTATTCTCCCAGTAAAGAGGATAGATGTATGTGTACATATATGTGCATATACATATATACACGTATATTTATAAATGACAAACACACAAAAATAACAGTATAAATCTCCATTTGTTATATATTTAAATTTTTTGTAGCGATCGGGCTGTTGCTATATTATCAAGGCTGGTCTCATACACCTGGCCTCAAGCGATGCTCCGACATCAGCCTTCCAAAGTGCTGGGATTACAGGCCTGAGGCATCGCGCCCAGCTCCAAATCTCCATTTTCGGTGAACCATTTGAGAAAAAATCGCAAACATGCTGCATCTCCAAATACCTAACTATGTTTTCCACAAACAGGGACAGGTTCCCACGTGCACACTGTAAGGCACGGTGAAAATCGGGACATTAACACGGCTGAATCGCTACCATCTAATCCGAAGGCCCAACCACATTCACCACTTGTGCCAATAATATGTTCATTTCACTGTATGTTTTGAAATGTGTACCACATGCATATGTTATCTTTACGAAAAAAAAAATAGTATGTTGAAACCACTCGTCACAGCCAAATGAAATAAGAGCTAACTCATTCAAGCACGAGCCCCGGAGGACTAAAAGAATCCGGCCTCTCCCAGGCCTCCTCACCTGAGCAGGGCTCCCTCCTGACTACCGCCCACCCACTCCAGGGCAGGACGCGGGAAGAGACTGCCCAGCCCGAGGGTCGCAGGGGCAGAAAACCCCAGGTCCTGAATGCGCCTGGGCCCCGCGGCGAACCTGGCGTCCCCACCCGACACCAGAATCAGATTCAGGCCAGGCCAGGAACCACCCCAGCTTCCTGCATCCGCCTTGGTCCAGGCAGCAAAGACGGCGGCGGCCGCCAGGGGGACGGAAGCTCAAGGGCGGGGATGCAGGCCCAAGCCTGGGCGCGCCCACCAAGGCGTGGATCCGGACGAAGGTTCCGGAACAGCCGGTCCCGAGCACCCACGTGCAGCTTCCGATCTCAGCCCTGGCGTGGCTTCTGTGTCCCCGGCTAAGGCCCGCGGTCGCTGCAGGGTGCCTCGCCGAGGGTGCGGGCTCGGGGCTCACAGTGCTCCCAGCCTCTCCCACCCCAACCCCGCCATTAAGGGGAGCCCCAGCGACGCCCTGAACCCTGAAAGTCACACTGGGGCCGGGGCTGCACTTGGCGTCCGCTTCCCCTCCCGTCACAGTGACCAGGGCTAGGACCGGGGTCCGGGCCGTCGGGGAGAGCGGAGGGCGCGTGGGAATGGGGCTCGCTGCGCCACGGAAACCCCGCGCCGCCCTTCGAGTCCTCCCCGCTGCTCCGCAGAGCCGGGGCCGCTGCCATCGCGTCTGCCCCGAGGGTGCGCAGGCGGGTACCTGTCCCGACTCGGGGAACAGCGGGAGCCCGGAGACGCCCGTCGGGCTTCCCAGCCCCACCTGGGACGTCTCTAGGGGCGGGAGGCCAGGAGAGAAGAGGGTGGGAGAGATGAGCTGCAGGGGGATACGGGACCCAGGGACCCGGGATATTATAACACGCTTTCCACCCGTAGGATTGGGGCCCACAAATGACCAGAAAGGTGGGACTCATTCGCCCCCTTTGCAGATGGACCCATGTTGGCGCCCCTTAGATCTGCAGTGGGGGCACCAGGACCTGCGGTGAGCGCCTCTGCGCCCCAAACGCCAGCAGGTCCGCCCGACCGCATTCCCAGCTGGCTTGCTTTGCACAAATGCTGCGTCAGGGCACGCCCCACACCCACTCCTTCCCAGATCGCGACCCTCACGCCTTCGCAGACAGAAGGTGTCCTAAGCACAGGCAGGCTCAGAGCCCGCCTCCGCCTCGGATTCGCTGTGTGGCCCGGAGCCAGTATCTTGGCCTCTCTGGGTCTCAGTTTGCTCATCTCAGTGAATGGGACACAGACACAGTCGCGCTGCGGGCTAACGCTTTATTTGCCAGCCAAGGCCCCGGGCCCGCCTGGGCTTCTGCTCAGAAGATCCTCACGGAGTCCAGCTGCACGTCCCCGCCCACCTCCACCAGGCGCACGCGCGCCAGCGGCAGGCGGTGGCGGAAGTGGTGGTACTGGGCGTCCCCAACCACGGCCTGCAGGGGAGGGTCGGTGGTGAGGATTCCGGAGGCCCGTGCTGGGTGGCCCTGGGGAAATCACTCATCCCCTCTGGGCCTCAGTTTCCTCACTGGGAAAATGGGGCTATTGTTCATTCTAACTCTTGCGTGAGGATCAAACGAGTTGACTGTGTGGCACAGTAAAAAGCGGCTTTTTTAGTGCTGGTAATGGATATTCTCATTTCAGCGACCATTACCCGCTATTAAAGCGCAGAGGAGGGAGGTGAATTCGCGTAAGCTGTGGGTGGTGGAGGATCTGCCGCCACTCCCACCCGCCAATCCTTGCTAGGACGAGTTCCTGGGCGCTGTTTCCAACCCATCCCTCCCCATGCCTCAAACCCCGGACCTCAGGAAGGAATGAACTGGGAGTAGGGTCTGGGATGGCGAGTCTGGGCCACGCCTTCCCGCTAGGACGCCCACCCCTTGGACACTTGGCTGGTGCTCGCCTCGTCCTGACCCTGCTGTCTCTCTGTCCCTCGGACCCAAGTGGGAGTTGTTTAGGCGACAGAGAGGGTCGAAGGACACCCTTCTCCGCCTTGGCCACGACTTCCCTACCCCCCTCACCCCGCCCCGAACCTCCCTGCCTTCCACCAATAGCCTGGCTTTGCCCAACCCTCTGCTCCAGGGACCTAAGTCTTGGCGTCCACGCCCCTGTCGCTGAGACGCACCTTGAAGCCGTCGTCTGACGCGATGATGAGCACCTCGAAGGGCTGCCCGCGCTGGAAAGGAACGCCCGGCCCGCGCTCCTCGCGGCCCCAGGAGCCTTGCTCCTTGCTGTTGAAGACCACCTCCGACGTGTCCAGCCGGGGGTTGAAATGCAGGGCGGCATCGGAGCCCTGCTCCTCCCCGCACAGCAGGTTTACATGGAACCTGGAAGAGGGGGATGGTGGCCGTCAGGGCTCAGAAACCACCCAGACCAAGAAATGTTGAGGGTGAGGAATACCGATGTCTACAATTTACTTTGAATGAATAAGTAAATGAAATGTTGGCTGGGTGCAGTGGCTCACCCTGTAATCCCAGCACTCTGGGAGGTGGAGAAGGGAGGATCGCTTGGGCCCGGAAGTTAAAGACCAGCCTGGGCAACATAGCAAGACCCCACCTTACAAAAAAACGAAAGAACAAACAAAACATAAACCGCCCAGACCAAAGTGAAGGTCTTATGGGCTGGCACTCCCCATTCCCAGAGTACCCCCAAATTAACAGGGACCTGAAGACAGGCACACACCGCAGAAGGAGAGGTGGGCGACTAATGACCAGGGAGCTTAGATTCCCAAGGCAGCCAAAATATCATGAGGCCCTTGGCAGAAACCTACCCAGACCAAACTCACTACACTTAGGGCAGGGTGCCCTCATTTCCAAAGAGCCTGGGAGCTGCCCAGGAGGTCTGGGTGATAGCCAGGGTGCTCCTGATGCTCAGGGAATCCTCAGCTTCTACAGGACAAAGAATAATACCAGGAACCCCAGTATTTCCAGGGTACCTCAGAATCCAGAAGGCCCGAAGTTCCTTAGCCAGGAAGTCAAAGGATGGCTTGGCAAGGACTCCCAGGGTCCAGGGTGTCTCCAGGACTTGGAGTATTTCCAGAGTTCCCTGGGACTCAGACATGGAAGTCATAGGACTATATCTAGGAACCCTGAGATTACCCAGGGACCTCAAATGCTTAGGGAAACTTAGGGACCCCAGCCACAAAGGCACGGGGGCAAATACGAATACATCAGATTTGAGGTCAGAAATGGCCTCGGACTCCTAGCCTGGTGGATACAGGTGGCCTCGGGCCCCTACTTCTGGACTGCAAAAATTGGGAGTCAGCTGATCCTGAGACCTGTACCCTTTACCCCTAGGGCCTGGGGCCTCACCTGCTGGCATTGGGAGGAACCAAGCCGCGAATTCTCAGCACCGTGCCAGGGCGGATGCCCTCGGGCAGCGAGGACTTGTGGGGGACGTTCTGCAAGAGTGGGGTGCAGGGGCCACTGTGAGCCGGTGAGACCGAAGGAGGGAGGCAGAAGGTGGGTCACCCCTCAGAGGAGCCGACCAGGGCTGAGACTGGCAGAAATCAGTGGAAGAGGAAAGGTTGGCGGAGAGGCAGGAAAGAGACCAGAAACAGACAGGGAAACAGATGGGGAGAGCAACAAAGACAAACAGAAAGATCCTCAAAGAGGGCCCCAGAGGAAGCCACAAAGAGGTAGAGAGGACAGTCGGGATGGGGGTTACCCGGAGGCCACAGCCCAGGCCAGTCCGTGGCACACTCACTGCCCACTTGCTCCTTTGAAAGAGGAGCCCCCAGCCCCCTCCCTGCTTGGCCCCGCCCCGGGCCCCTGGAGCACTCACGGACATGGCTGGGACCGGGTTGGGCAGCCGTGGTGGTGGGGCCTGCTGGGGACCTTAAATAAAAGCAGGGCAGGGCTGGCCCTGATGACTCACCCCACCCCTTCCCACCCACCACCCACACCTGGCACGGACCCTGGCCCTGGGGCAAGCCTGGCGAAGCGGGAGTGGCGCCTCTTCTTGGGGGCCCTGATCCCCCCATCACCCAGAGCCCGGGTGCACTGCCCCTCTCCTAGGAGCTGATAATAAGAGCCACCGCCCCTCCACCCCTGTCTTCCCACTGCCTGGCACACAGGAGAGTCTCTCATGCTCATTTTATCCACAGACATGTTGGGTCCTGAGAAGCCAAGCCCAGCGGGAACTCTAGACCCTTCTCTCCAGCTGAGAACCTCCTGCCTAGACTGGAAATGTCTGCGCTGAAATCCCTGCTTCTAAGTCTCCAGTGGAACAGCAGCCACAACAACGACGATAGTGCCAGACAGGGGGACTTCACAGGGTCGGAGGGCGGCCTGGTTGGCTCAGTGCTGCACCCCTGGGTCCTGGAGTGTGCCGGGTTCATGGGAAGTCCTCAGTCAGGAGGGGTGAAAGGAGGGGATCCACTAGGACTACGCTTGTCATTTCCCAGGCCCTTGGGCTGCCCAGGATATGCAGGAAATCACTGATTGGGACCCCACCATTCCAACAGAGAGAAGCATGGGTCACCCCCATTGTACAGAGAAGGAGGCTGAGGCTGGGATGGGAAGTGATTTTCCACAAGCCGGGCAGGACCCATTGCCCCAACCTCTGCCTTTCCTCACCTCTGGGCGTGCCTCTCCTGTGGGTTCTGTCTCTGGGGCTGGCTGTCTGGCTCTGTTTGTCTCTGTCTATAACTGTCTACCGCGTATTCCTGTCCCACTTCTCTCCTTCAAGTCTCTCTTGTTCCTCCTTCCAGGACTGTTACCATCTTCCCACCAATTTTGCAGGTCAGGATGAGGTGGGTTTTAGGGTGGTGGGTGGCCTAGCATTCCATCACCACCTAGATCAAAAGCAGAGCAAGGTGGGGACCCTCCCGCCAGCCCCAATATAGCCCGCTTGGGCCCAAGACTCTAGAAGAGAATCCAGGGTTGGGGAAGTAGACTGGGGGAGGCGGGGGGGGGGGGCGGGCAGGACTGAAATCTGTTTCTGAAAGGCAGGGATGGTGTGGGAGCTGAACAGAAACCACTCCTGGCTGGGCATGGTAGCTCACGCCTGTAATCCCAGCACTTTGGGAGGCCAAGGTAGGTGGATCACTTGAGGTCAGGAGTTCAAGACCAGCCTGGCCAACATGGTGAAACCCCTTCTCTATAGAAAATACAAAAAATTGGCCAGGTGTGGTGGTGGACACCTGTAATCCCAGCTACCTGGGAGGCTGAGGCAGGAGAATTGCTTGAGCTGGGGAGGCGGACGTTGTAGTGAGCCGAGATCACACCACTGCACTGCAGCCTGGGCGACAGAGCTAGACTCTGTCTCAAAAAATAAAAATAAAGCCTGTAATCCCAGCACTTTGGGAGGCCGACGCGGGTGGATCACGAGGTCAGGAGATCGAGACCATACTGGCTAACACGGTGAAACCCCGTCTCTACTAAAAATACAAAACAAAATTAGCCGGGCATGGTGGCGGGCGCCTGTAGTCCCAGCTACTCGGGAGGCTGAGGCAGGAGAATGGCATGAACCCGGGAGGCAGAGCTTGCAGTGAGCCGAGATCGCGCCACTGCACTCCAGCCTGGGCAACAGAGCAAGACTCCATCTCAAAAATAAATAAACAAACAAACAAATAAATAAATAAAAATAAACCACTCCTAGCAATGCAGCAGCCCTCCTGGACCTTTTCCACTCCCCACCCAACTCCTGCACTCCTGCCCCACCCAGCAGGCTGCTGAGAGGCCTGGGCAGAGGCAGGCTGGCAGTGGAAAGTTTGGGTGGAGACACCAGACCCAGAACCATCCTCCACCCTCTTTGTCCCAGGCCCCCAGCCTCTTGCCCCCTCCCCACACACTCCAAGGCACCAAGGTGGGGGACCAGTTCCTAGGGACGTGAGCTCAGAGAGGGAGGCTTGCAGCTGCATTTCAGTGGGAGCTGCAAGCACCCCCATTCTGCAGAAGACAAAACTGAGGCCTAGACAGGGACAGCTTCTCAGCCAAGGAAGCGGCCAGGCCCTGG
The DNA here is from genome assembly GCF_000001405.40 of Homo sapiens. NCBI lineage: Eukaryota > Metazoa > Chordata > Mammalia > Primates > Hominidae > Homo > Homo sapiens. The sequence continues at coordinate 185,302 of NW_014040929.1, forward strand.
GCTCCACAGGGGTGTCTGTGCCAAGGACATGTCATGGGCACGGACAGAGAGGACAGCAGGGTGTCCGGTGATCACACCACCAGCGCAGCTCAGTTAGTTCCCGAGAATGTTCCCTTGAATGGTGAACTCCATCATTCTAACATTATTGACCATTCTAAAGAACACACTCCTCACATTACTGACGCCTCATGCTGTGTACCGTGTTTCCCAGGAACTCAACTTTTTAGTGATCGCTTCACTGTGGCTGGATGTAACTTCACATGCAGCCAACATGCTGCAAGTCCCAACGTGCCTTTGCTGACTGGCCAAAGCTTTCCATTCACTCTATTATTAGCCTGAAGTCCTGACTCCTTTCTGGTAACAGATCTGCATCCTTGATTGCATCCTTGATGGGTTTTTGTTGTTGTTGTTGTTGTTTGTTTGTTTGTTTTTGAGACAGAGTTTTGCTCTGTCACCCAGGCTGGAGTGCAGTGGCACGATCTCGACTCACTGCAACCTCTGCTTCCCAGGTTCAAGTGATTCTCCTGCCTCAGCCTCCCGAGTAGCTGGGATTACAAGCATGTGCCACCACTCATGGCTAATTTTTGTATTTTTAGTAGAGACAGGGTTTCACCATGTTGGCCAGGCTGGTCTTGAACTCCTGCCCTCAAGTGATCCACCCACCTCAGCCTCCCAAAATGCTGGGATTACAGGCATGAGCCACTGCATCCAGCCCTTGATGGGTTCTTATTCAATTGTGTTATCTTTCTCATTAGTTGTGCAATAATTTTTTTTTTTTTTTTTTTTTGAGACAGGGTCTGGCTCTCTCTGTGATCATGGCTTACTGCAGCCTTGGCCTCCTGGGCTTGGGAATCCTCCCGCCTCTGGAGTAGCTTGGACTACAGTTGCACGCCACCATGCCCAGCTTTTTTTTTTTTTTTTTTTTTTTTCCTAGAGAGGAGGTCTCACCATGTTGCCCAGGCTGGTCTCAAACTCCTGGGCTCAAGCGATCCTCCCACCTTGGTCTCCTAAAATGTTGTGATTACAGGCCTGGCCACGGTAATATTTGTGTGTCTTTTTTCGGTTTTAAATAACTAATGTGTTTATTTCCCAATTGTTATTTCATTGAGGTATTTTTCCCATTAAATAAAAGGTTCAGATTTTGTTGTTATTGTTGTTGTTTTGAGACAGGGTCTTGTTCTGTCGCCCAGGCTGGAGTGCAGTGGTATGATCTCAACTTACTGCAACCTCTGCCTCCCAGATTCAAGTGATCCTCCCACCTCATCCTCCTGAGTGGCTGGGACTACAGGAGTGTGCCACCACACCTGCCTAACTTTTGTATTATTTTGTACTGATGGGGTTTCGCCATGTTGTCCAGGCTGTTCTCAAACTCCTGGACTCAAGTGATCCACCTGCTTTGGCCTCCCAAAGTGCTGGGATTATAGGTGTGAGCCCCTGCTCAGGGTTCAGATTTTAATGGAATAGTTCAATGAGTTTTGACACATATAGTCACCTGTGTAACCACCTCCCCAATCAAGTTTCCTGGTGCCCCTAGAAACAGTCACTGCTCCTTCTGCCACATGAAGCCACTGTCACTCCTGAGCAGTTAGTAGCCACAAAGTTTCCTTTGATCCATTGTGGTGGCATGTGCCTGTAGTCCCAGCTACTCGGGAGGCTAGGGCAGGAGGATCACCTGAGCCCTGGAGGTGGAGGCTACAGTGACCCAAGATCACACCACTGCACTCCAGCCTGGGTAACAAGGCGGGCGGATCACCTGAGGTCAGGAGTTTGAGACCAGCCTGGCCAATGCGACAGCGTGGCGCCTGCCTGTAGTCCCAGCTACTGGGGAGGATGAGGCAAGAGAATCACTTGAACCTGGGAGGCGGAGGCTGCAGTGAGTTAAGATCGCACCTCTGCACTCAAGCCTGGGTGACAGAGCGAGACTCGGTCTCAAAAAAGAAAAAAAAGGCCAGGCGCGGTGGCTTACACCTGTAATCCCAGCACTTTGGGAGGCCGAGGCGGGCGGATCACGAGGTCAGGAGATCGAGACCATCCTGGCTAATACGGTGAAACCCCGTCTCTACTAAAAATACAAAAAATTAGCCAGGCGTGGTGGCGGGCACCTGTAGTCCCAGCTACTCAGGAGGCTGAGGCAGGAGAATGGCATGAACCTGGGAGGTGGAGCTTGCAGTGAGCCAAGATCGCGCCACTGCACTCCAGCCTGGGCAACAGAGCAAGACTCCAAGATTCCGTCTCAAAAAAAGAAAAGAAAAGAAAAGAAAAATAAGTTCATTTGCCGTGAAAATGAGAAAGTGGGTTGGGACAGACTGATTTTTCTGATTTTAGGCCTCTTTCAGGATATAACTTAGGTGAAAAGTAACTAATCGCACACTAAGTGTTTGTAGGGATTTAAAACCCCAGGTTCTGTCAGTGCCATTTTGTTAGTGATATTTTGAGTTATTGTTTTTTGTTTTATTTTTGATTTTTTTTTAGTGATTGCTTCACTGTGGCTGGATGTAACTTCACATGTAGCCAACATACTGCAAGTCCCAATGTGCCTTTGCTGATTGGCCAAGGGTTTGCACATTAACTCTGTTATCAGCCCGAAGTCCTGACTCATTTCTGATAACAGATCTACGTCCTTGATGGGTTCTTTTTTTTTTTTCTTTTGAGATGGAGTCTCACTCTGTTGCCCAGGCTGGAGTGCAGTGGCTCAATCTCAGCTCTGCCTCCTGGGTTCAAGCGATTCTCTTGCCTTGGCCTACTTAGTAGCTGGGATTACAAGCATGCACCACCACTCTTGGCTGATTTTTGTATTTTTAGTAGAGATGGGGTTTCACCATGTTGGCCAGGCTGGTCTCGAACTCCTGACCTCAAGTGATCCACCCACCTCAGCTTTCAAAAGTGCTGGGATTACAGATGTGAACTACTGTGCCTAGCCAAGGGTCTGGCTATGTTGCCCAGGCTAGTCTGGAACCTGGGCTTAAGTGATCCTCCAACTTCTGGCCTCCCAAAGTACTGGGATTACAGGTGTGAGCCACCATGCCCTGTGGTTTTGGTTATTTTTTAAACACAGTGAAGATACTTCAGGGACTCCTTTGGTTTTATATATTAACATTCCAGTGATGAAAATGATACAGGTAAAAATCTTTTTAGTGAATTCTAACTGTTCCCACAGTTAAAGACATTTACCCACTATGTAACTAATTATATCTTTCCAAGTAATTTGGTAACCACCACTGAAGATTGGCTTACTCAGCTTCTAACTCACTCCCCAGCGGGCCCACCTTTTTTTTTTTTTTTTTTTTTTTTTTTTGAGACAGGGCCTTAATCTATTGCCCAGGCAAGATCATCATGCACTGCAGCCTCAACCTCCTGGGCTGAAGCGATCCTCCTGCCTCAGCCGCCAAAGTGGCTGGGACTACAGGCATGTGACATCACCCCCAGTTAATTTTTTTTTTATTTTATTTTAGTAGAGCTGATGCCTCACTATGTGGCCCAGGCTGGTCTCAAACTCTGGAACTCAAGTATCCTCCTGCCTTGGCCTCCCAAAGTGCTGGGATTACAGGCGTGAACCTCCGCACCCAGCCTGGCCTGCTTTCTTGCATTAGGCAGTTAAAAACTACATTTCCCAGAGTTATTTGTAGCTAGATTCACATAGGACTGGGTTTCCCCAAGCTGAGTTTGCACCCCTGGAAAACTCTTTTTTTGAAGACATGCCCTCGTGGCCAGGTACTGTGGCTCACACCTGTGATCCTAGCACTTTGGAGGCTGAGGTGGGCAGTTTGCCTGAGCTCCAGAGTTCAAGACCAGCCTGGGCAACATGGCAAAACCCCGTCTCTACTAAAATACAAAAAATTAGCCTGGCATGGTGGCACGCACCTGTAATCCCAGCTACTGGGTAGGCTGAGGCACAAGAATCACTTGAATCCAGAAGGTGGAGGTTGCAGTGAGCAGAATTTGTGCCACTGCACTCCAGGCTGGGTGACAGAGCAAGACTGTCCAAAAAGAAAGAGAGAGAGAAGGAAGGAAGGAAGGGAGGGAGGGAGGGAGAGAGGGAGGGAAGGAGGGAAGAGAGAGAGAGATGAAAGAAAGAAAGAAAGAAAGAAAGAAAGAAAGAAAGAAAGAAAGAAAGAAAGAAAGAAAGAAAGAAAGAAAAAGAAAGAAAGAAGGAAAGAAAGAAAGAAAGAAAAGAAAGAAAGAAAGAAAGAAAGAAAGAAAGAAAGAAAGAAAGAAAGAAAGAAAGAAAGAAAGAAAGAAAGAAAGAGAAAGCCAGCCAGCCAAGAAAGAAGTGGTCTTGCTCTGTGGTTTTGCCCTGTCACCCAGCCTGGAGTGCAGTGGCACCATCATAGCCCACTGCAGCCTAGAACTCCCAGGCTGAAGCAATTTTCCTCAGTCTCTGGAGTAGTAGGTAGGACAACGGTTGTGTGCTACCACACTTGGCTAATTTTTTCTTTTCTTTTCTTTTCTTTTTTTTTTTTTTGAGACGGAGTCTCGCTCTGTCGCCCAGGCTGGAGTGCAGTGGCGTGATCTGGGCTCCCTGCAAGCTCTGCCTCCTGGGTTCATGCCATTCTCTTGCCTCAGCCTCCCAACTAGCTGGGACTACAGGCGCCCGCCACAATGCCCGGCTAATTTTTTGTATTTTTTAGTAGAAACGGGGTTTTACCGTATTAGCTAGGATGTTCTCGATCTCCTGACCTCATGATCTGCCCGCCTCGGCCTCCCAAAGTGTTGGGATTACAGGCGTGAACCACCGCGCCTGACTCTTTTCTTTTTTTGAGACAGGATCTCACTCTGTCACCCCAGCTGGAGTGCAGTGGTGTGATCTCGCCTCACTGCAGCTTCAACAGCCCAGGTTCAAGCAATCCTCCTGCCTCAGCTTCCTAAGTAGCTGGGATTACAGGCATGTGCCACTGTGCCCGGCTTTTTTTTTTTTTTTTTTTTTTTTTTTTAGAGACAGGGTCTCACTGTGTTGCTCAGGCTGGTCTTGAACTCCTGGGCTCAAGCGATCTACCAGCCTCAGTTGCCCAAAGTGCTGGGATTACAGGTGTGAGCCCCCATGCCTGGCCCAAAACTGGCTCATTTTTAAATTTTTTTTTTTTGTAGAGACAGGGTCTTCCTCTGCTGCCCAGGCTGGTCTCAAACTCCTGGCCTCAAGGAGTCTTCCCAGTTCAGCTTCCCAAAGTGCTGGGATTACAGGTATCAGCCACTGCACTCCACCACCTGCAAAACTTAGAAGGTGAAAATGAGGTAACACTTACGGGAGGGAGATGAGCCTTCTGGCTAGTTAGGTGATGGAGGTATTTATTTTTATCTAGAACAGCCTAGGAAGCTCTGGCCAGGGAATGCTCTCCGCATCCACCCTCTAGCTTTGCAGCACGGAAGCTTATTCCCTAGTCCTCTGAAAATTCTGTAAGCTATTGCCGGGCATGGTGGCTCATGTCTGTGATCCCAGCACTCTGGGAGGCCAAGGCGGGCGGATCACCTGAGGTTGGGAGTTCGAGACCAGCCTGACCAACATGAAGAAACCCCCTCTCTACTAAAAATACAAAATTATCTGGGTATGATGGCTCATGCCTGTAATCCCAGGTACTCGGGAGGCTGAGGCAGGAAAATTTCTTGAACCCAGGAGGCGGAGGTTGCAGTGAGCCAAGATCGTGCCATTGCACTCCAGCCTGGGTAACAAGAGCGAAACTCCGTCTCAAAAAAAAAAAAAAAATTCTGTAAGCTGTCATAGCCGCTAATAATCTCTGTAAACTAGCGGAGGAGGGTTCTGTTGCCAGCAACCAGCAACCCCAACATGACAGTGGGAGAAGTGGCTGATACAGGCAGCAGAACTTAAAATGAGGGCGTGGCTGGAGGAGATAGAGGAGAGGCTGATAGGAAGGACTCCTGTATTGCAGGGTGGAAAGCCAGTGTCTCTTGCTACATGGTAACAAATTATCCACTCACACTGTCACCTGCTGTGCCTGGAAAGGCAGATTGCGGGCTGGCCAAGGCTGCAGCCTCAGAAAAATAGTAAAGATGTTTCAGAATGACAACGTTTTCTTGTTTCTTCCACTTTTGGAGAAGTCCTAAGAAGCAATCAAGAGCCTATGGACAGAAACAGAAGGAATTAATCCATCTGTCTTAAACAGGGGATTTTTTTTTTTAGACAAGGTCTCTTTCTGACGCCCAGGCTGGTTGGAGCGCAGGATCTCGGCTCACTGCAACCAACCTCTGCCTCCCAGGTTCAAGTGATTCTCCTGCCTCAGTCTCCCGAGGAGCTGGGACTACAGGCGAGCACCACCACGCCTGGCTAATTTTTCTATTTTTAGTAGAGACAGGGTTTTGCCATGTTCTCAAACTTCTGACCTCAGGTGATCCACCCACCTCACCTCCAAAATGCTGGCATTACAGGCATGAGCCACCACGCCTGGTCATGTCCAGCTTTTTATTTCTTCTAGAGATGAGGGTCTTGCTATGTTGCCCAGGCTGGCCTTGAACTCGTGGTCTCAAACGATCCTCTTGCCTCAGCCTCTCACAGTGCTACAGGCGTGAGCCACTGCTCCCTACTAGGGGGTTCTATCTTGCTGCATACTATGAATCTTAATTGAATGAAGGTCCCATGTCTTTTTTTGACACAAGGTCTCGCTCTGTCACCCAGGCTGGATTGCAATGGCGTGATCTTGGCTCACTGCAACCTCCGCCTCCCGGGTTCAAGCGATTCTCCTGCGTTCAAGTGATTCTCCTGCCTCAGCTTCCAGAGTAGCTGAGATTACAGGCGTGCGTCACCACACCCGGCTAATTTTTTGTATTTTTAGTGGAGACAGGGTTTCCCCATGTTGGCCAGGCTGGTCGCAAATGCCTGACCTCAGGTGATCCGCCCACCTCAGCCTCCCAAAGTTCTGGGATTACAGATGTGAGCCACCACACCCGGCCATAGTTGGGAGTTTTGAAGAGTCAATGTCATATAAACCAAAAAGGGTGGATGATTGTTCCAAATTCAAAGAGAATGACAGGACAGCCAGATGAAATTTACCAGCCTTTACTGACTGCTGAATAAGGGAGGAAAGTGTGACATAAGTTACCCTTGGGACCCAGGCATTCTACTCCTAGGGATATGCCCAAGGGGAATAAAAACATGTTCGTGCTAAATATTTAAACAAAATGTTCGTAGAAGCGTTCATTATTCATAACAGCCAAACAGTGGAAACAACTCGAATGTCCTTTGCAGGGGAAAGAAAACTTTACCTCTCCCTCCTACGGTCTTCAGTGGGCTTGGGTATAAAACTACCATAAGAATGCCGGGCGCAGGGCTCACTCCTGTAATCCCAGCATTTTGGGAGGCCAAGGCGGGCGGATCACCTGAGGTCGGGAGTTTGAGACCAACCTGACCAACATGGAGAAATCTTGTCTCTACTAAAAATACAAAATTAGCCGGGCATGGTGGTGCATGTCTGTAATCCCAGCTACTTGAGAGGCTGAGGCAGGAGAATCCCTTGAACCCAGGAGGCAGAGGTTGTTGCAATGACCCGAGATCACGCCATTGCACTCTGTCTAAAAAACAAACAAACAAAAACAAACAAACAAAAAAAACTGGTATAAGAAGGCTCACGCCTGTAATCCCAGCATTTCGAGAGGCCGAGGCAGGTGGATCACCTGAGGTCAGGAGTTCAAGACCAGCCTGGCCAACATGGTGAAACCCCCGTCTCTACTAAAAATACAAAAAGTAGCCAGGCGCAGTGACACATGCCTGTAGTCCCAGCCACTCGGGAGGCTGAGGTGGGAGAATTGCTTGAACCTGGGAGGCGGAAGTTGCAGTGAGCCGAGATCACACCATTGCACTCCAGCCTGGTGGCAGAGAAGACTCTGTCTAAATAAATAAATAAATATGTTAAATTAAATAAAAATAAAAAGAGTCCAAACCTGCCCCACCAAATAACCCAATCCTCAAACCATTAGCTCACGCTAATGCCTCCACTTCCAGTCCAGCTCCACAGGGCTGGTGCCTACCTCTCCCTTTCCATATCTGTAACTCCCTCCCAGAAAAAAAAAGCAGTTCCAGTCCTCATCTCTGACTCCCACATGGCACCTCCCCCCGAGGCTGGTTCCAATGCCCCTCGTCGGGCACCCACCCCACACAGGTGTCCTCCTCCCATGCTGGGAGTGCAGGCTCCCTGTCACGTGTCCTGCTGGCCCTCACTGGGCACTTACGCGCAGCCTCTGCTGAGCGCTCCTCATCCTGCTCAGCCCTGACCCCCAAACACCTCTCCCAAGGACATCCCACCCCAATCAGCCCATTCAGGGCCACCATGACCTTGCTCAGCCCCACATAATAGCTTTAGGGCCCAATTGTTCAGCAAAGGAAGGAAAGGAAGGAAAGGAAGGAAAGGAAGGAAGAAGAAAAAGCTATGCATGTATTTTACTGTTTAAGCATTGAAATGTACAAGAATCACTAGGAAACTTACAAGAATTACTTGGATGAGTTTATAGAGCAATTGAAACACTGAAAAATGAATAACCTCTAAAATTATGCATTCAGTTTAAAATATTTAAGAGAGTTTAATTAACTAAGTTTATAAATGGAACTGAACACTAGAGAATAGACTTTTTCTTAGCGGTAATTGGATTGTTTTATTAATATTTACTATATTTATAAAAATAGAGTCGTGAGATTTCCAATGGGCATAAAAGCTTAAGAACAAAGTGAGTTTCTGGGGTTTTTTTGTTTTTGTTTTTGTTTTTTTGTTTGGTCTTTTTTTGATGGAGTCTTGCTCTGTCGCCCAGGCTCAAGTGCAGTGGTGCGATCACACACCACAACCTCCGTCTCCCGGGTTCAGGTGATTCTCCTGCTTCAGCCTCCCAAGTAGCTAGGATCACAGGTGTGTGCCACCACACCCAGCTAATATAGATATATATAATTTTTTGGTATTTTTAGTAGAGGCAGGGTTTCACTATGTTGGCCAGGCTGGTCTCAAATTCCTGACCTCAGGTGATCCACCGCCTTGGCCTCCCAAGGTGCTGGGATTACAGGGTGAACCACTGCGCCTGGCCAAGAACAAAGTGAGATTTCTTTCCTTTTTTTTTTTTTTTTTTGAGAGGAAGTCTCGATCTTGTCCCCCAGGCTGGAGTGCAATGGCGTGATCTTGGCTCACTGCAACCTCTGCCTCCCAGGTTCAAGCGATTCTCCTGCCTCAGCCCCCCGAGTAGCTGGCATTACAGGTGCCTGCCACCATGCCCGGCTAATTTTTTCTATTTTTAGTAGAGACGGGGTTTCACCCTATTGGCCAGGCTGGTCTCGAACTCCTGACCTCAGGTGATCCGCCCGCCTCGGCCTCCCAAAGTGTTGGGATTATAGGCATGAGCCACCGTGCCCAGCCAAAGTGAGATTTCTAAGTGTCATTTTCATCATCAGAATGTTGATTTACAAAAAGCAGCCCCAGAATTACCTTCACTGTGTATAAAAAATAACCAAAATGTGACCAACAAATGACATTCATGGAGCCTGAATTTTAAATCTCTACAACCACCTAGTGTGCAATTAGCTACTTTTCATCTAAATTATTTCCTAAAAGAGGCATAAAGTAAGAAAAATCAGTCTACTCCCTCTTCTTTATTTTGAGACAAAAGAACCTCGGTGGCTAGTCAATGCTCAGCAGTGGCCAGGCCCAGTGGCTCATGCCTGTAATCCCAGCACTTTGGGAGGCTAAGGCAGGCAGATCGCTTGACTCCAGGAGTTCAACACCAGCCTAGGCAACATCGTAAAACCCTCTCTCTACAAAAAATACACAATTAGCCAGGCATGGTGGCGTGTGTCTGTAGCCCCAGCTACTCGGGAGGCTGAGGTGGTGAGCCCAGGAGGTTTAAGCTTGGAAGATTGAGGCTGCAGTGAGCGGAGACTGCACCACTGCACTCCAGCCTGGGTGACAGAGTGAGACCCCCATCTCAAAAACAAAACAAAACAAAACAAAACAAAAAAATGGTCAGGAGTGACACTGGCCAGTGGCTTCCTGGAACTAGAAGAGAGGCCACTATTTCCTGGACACCAGGAAACTTAATTGAGGAGGTGGTTAGATAGGTCTCCACAGTTCTCAAAATCAGTGAACTATACCTTTAATATCTGCATCTTTTATTTTATGGGAAGGATACCTTGATAGAAAGACTATTGAGAAATATATACATTTATTATTATTATTATTATTATTATTATTATTATTATATATACTTTTTGAGACAGAGTCTTGTTCTTTTTGCCCAGGCTAAAGCGCAATGGAGCTATCTTGGCTCACTACAATTTCTGCCTCCTGGGTTCAAGCAATTCTCCTGCCTCGGCCTCTCGAGTAGCTGGGAATGCAGGTGTGCACCACCACACCCGGCCTACATTAACTATTTAAAATTGAAAAAAGGTGACCAGGTGCGTTGGTTCACACTTGCAATCACAGCACTTTGGGAGGCTGAGGCAGGTGGATCACCTGAGGTCAGGAGTTCAAGGCCAGTCTGGCCAACATGGTGAAACCCCGTCTCTACTAAAAATACAAAAAGTAGCCAGGCGTGGTGGCAGGCACCTGAAATCCCAGCTACTTGGGAGGCTGAGGCAGGAGAATCACTTGAACCTGGAAGGCAGAGGTTGCAGTGAGCCAAGATCAAACCACTGCACTCCTGCCTGGGCAACAGAGCGAGACTCTGTCTCAAAAAACGAGAAAGAAAAAGAAAAAAGGCTCACGAAAATATTATTTCAGGCCAGGCGCAGTGGCTCACACCTGTAATCCCAACACTTTGGGAGGCCGAGGAGGGCAGATCACGAGGTCAGGAGTTCGAGACCAGCCTGACCAACATGGCGAAACCCTGTCTCTACTAAAAATACAAAAATTAGGCCAGGCGCGGTGGCTTATGCCTGTAATCCCAGCACTTTGGGAGGCTGAGGCGGGCGGATCATGAGGTCAGGAGACCGAGACCATCCTGGCTAATACAGTGAAACCCCGTCTCTACCAAAAATGCAAAAAATTAGCTGGGCGTGGTGGCGGGAGCCTGTAGTCCCAGCTACTCAGGAGGCTGAGGCAGGAGAATGGCGTGAACCAGGGAGGCGGAGCTTGCAGTGAGCCGAAATGGTGCCACTGCACTCCAGCCTGGGCGGCAGAGCAAGACTCTGTCTCAAAAAAAACCAAAAACAAACAAACAAAAAAATTAGCCAGGCATGTTGGTGGGTGCCTGTAATCCCAGCTACTCAGGAGGCTGAGGCCAAAGAATCACTTCAACCCGGGAGGTGGAGGTTGCAGCGAGCCGAGATCGCACCACTGCACTCCAGCCTGGGTGACAGGGTGAGCCTCTGTCTCAAAAAAAAAACAAAAGAAAAAAAAAACAAAAGAAAATATTGTTTCACAACTGATGAGAAACATAACCAACACTAATGAATAAGAGCCCATCGAGGATGCATATCTCAGTTACAGGAAAGGAGCCAGCCTTTTAGACTGGTAACAGATTGACTGCAACCATTTGGCCAATCACTTAAGGCAAGTTGGGACTTGCACGTTGGTTGGGTGTGAAGTCATATCCAGCCACAGTGAAGAAATAGAAATAAATAAAAAGATGTTCTTGGGAAACAATAGCAAGGTACAGAATGATGTATCAAGTAATGTAAGGAGTGTCTTTTCTTTTTGTGGACTGAGGTCTCACTGTGTTGCCCAGGCTGGAGAGCTGTGGTGTGATCATAGCTCCCTGCAGCCTCTGATCTCCTGGGCTCAAGCAATTCTCCTGCCTCAGCCTCCCAAGTAGCTGGAATTACAGGCAGATGTGCGCCAACCCACTGGGCTATTTTATTTTATTTTTATTTTTTGTAGTGATGAGGTCTTGCTGTGTTGCCCAGGCGAGAGTGTCTTCTTTAGAATGGTCAATAATGTTAGAACAATGGAGTCCACCATTCAGGGGAACATTCTCGGGAACTAACTGAGCTGGGCTGGTGGTATGATCACCGGACACCCTGCTATCCTCTCTGTCCGTGCCCATGACATGTCCTTGGCACAAAGACCCCTCTGGAGCTGAGGGGCTGGCCTCTTCCTTGACTGAGAGGTGGCCCCTGTCTAAGCCTCAGTTTTGTCCTCTGCAGAATGGGGGTGCTTGCAGCCCCTACTGAAATGCAGCTGCTAGCCTCCCTCTCTGAGCTCATGTTCCCAAGAACTGGTCCCTGAGCTTGGTGCCTTGGAGTGTGTGGGGAGGGGGCGAGAGGCTGGGGGCCTGGGACGCAGAGGGTGGAGGATGGTTCTGGGTCTGCTGTCTCCACCCAAACTTTCCACTGCCAGCCTGCCTCTGCCCAGGCCTCTCAGCAGCCTGCTGGGTGGGGCAGGAGCTGGAGTGGCGAGTGGAAAAGGTCCAGGAGGGCTGCTGGGCTGCTAGGAGTGGTTTCTGCTCAGCTCCCACACCATCCCTGCCTTTCAGAAGCATCTTTCAGCCCTACCCGCCCCTCCACCAAGCCAATTCCCCAACCCTGAGTTCTCTTGCAGAGTCTTAGGCCCAAGGGGGCTGTTTCGGGCCTGGCGGGAGGGTCCCCGCCTTGCTCTGCTTTTGATCTAGGTGGTGATGGAATGCTAGGCCACCCACCACCCCAAAACCCACCTCATCCTGACCTACAAACTTGGTGGCATGATGGTAGCAGTCCTGGAAGGAGGAAGAAGAGAGACTTGAAGGAGAGAAGTGGGACAGGAATATGTGGTAGACAGAGTTAGGGGCAGAGACGGACAGAGTGAGACAGCCAGCCCCAGAGACAGAACCCACAGGAGAGGTGCGAGCAGAGGTGAGGAGAGCCAGAGGTCAGGGCAACGGGTCCTGCACGCTCCTGCCTTTGGCAAATCGCTTCCCATCCCAGCTTCAGCCTCCTCCTCTGTACAATGGGGGTGACCCATACTCCTCCCTGTTGGAATGATGGGGTCCCAATCAGTGATTTCCTGCATCTCCTGGGCAGCCGAGGGGCCTTGGAAATGACAGGCATAGTCCTAGTGGATCCCCTCCTTTCACCCCTCCTGACTGAGGACTTCCATGAACTGGGCACACTCCAGGACCCAGGGGTGCAGCGCTGAGGGGATCAGGCAGGCCCCCTGTGAACCCATGAAGCCACCCTGTCAGTCACTAGTGCTCCTATTGTGGCCGCTGTTCCATTACAGAGGCAGAAGCTTAGATTTCAGCACGGATCAGTCCAGGCAGGAGGTTCTCAGCTGGAGAGAAGGGTCTGGAGTTCCCACCCAGATTGGCCTCCCAGGACCTAATATGTCTGTGTATAAAATAAGAGAAATTACTAACAAATAAATACATGAAATGAGATAGAGGCTCTCCGTGTGCCAGGCAGCGGGAAGACAGGGGTGGAGGGGCAGTGGCACAAGGAGCCTTCTCTGCTGTGAGTTTATTACTATTAAACATTCCCTCTTATTATCAGCTCCTAGGAGAGGGGCAGTGCACCCGGGCCCTGGGTGATGGGGGGATCAGGGCCCCCAAGAAGAGGTGCCACTCCCGCTTCGCCGGGCTTGCCCCAGGGCCAGGGTCCGTGCCAGGTGTGGGTGGTGGGTGGGAAGGGGTGGGGTGAGTCATCAGGGCCAGCCCCGCCCTGCTTTTATTTAAGGTCCCCAGCAGGCCCCACCACCACGGCTGCCCAACCCGGTCCCAGCCATGTCCGTGAGTGCTCCAGGGGCCCGGGGCGGGGCCAAGCAGGGAGGGGGCTGGGGGCTCCTCTTTCAAAGGAGCAAGTGGGCAGTGAGTGTGCCACGGACTGGCCTGGGCTGTGGCCTCCGGGTAACCCCCATCCCGACTGTCCCCTCTACCTCTTTGTGGCTTCCTCTGGGGCCCTCTTTGAGGATCTTTCTGTTTGTCTTTGTTGCTCTCCCCATCTGTTTCCCTGTCTGTTTCTGGTCTCTTTCCTGCCTCTCCGCCACCCTTTCCTCTTCCACTGATTTCTGCCAGTCTCAGCCCTGGTCGGCTCCTCTGAGGGGTGACCCACCTTCTGCCTCCCTCCTTTGGTCTCACCGGCTCACAGTGGCCCCTGCACCCCACTCTTGCAGAACGTCCCCCACAAGTCCTCGCTGCCCGAGGGCATCCGCCCTGGCACGGTGCTGAGAATTCGCGGCTTGGTTCCTCCCAATGCCAGCAGGTGAGGCCCCAGGCCCTAGGGGTAAAGGGTACAGGTCTCAGGATCAGCTGACTCCCAATTTTTGCAGTCCAGAAGTAGGGGCCCGAGGCCACCTGTATCCACCAGGCTAGGAGTCCGAGGCCATTTCTGACCTCAAATCTGATGTATTCGTATTTGCCCCCGTGCCTTTGTGGCTGGGGTCCCTAAGTTTCCCTAAGCATTTGAGGTCCCTGGGTAATCTCAGGGTTCCTAGATATAGTCCTATGACTTCCATGTCTGAGTCCCAGGGAACTCTGGAAATACTCCAAGTCCTGGAGACACCCTGGACCCTGGGAGTCCTTGCCAAGCCATCCTTTGACTTCCTGGCTAAGGAACTTCGGGCCTTCTGGATTCTGAGGTACCCTGGAAATACTGGGGTTCCTGGTATTATTCTTTGTCCTGTAGAAGCTGAGGGTTCCCTGAGCATCAGGAGCACCCTGGCTATCACCCAGACCTCCTGGGCAGCTCCCAGGCTCTTTGGAAATGAGGGCACCCTGCCCTAAGCGTAGTGAGTTTGGTCTGGGTAGGTTTCTGCCAAGGGCCTCATGATATTTTGGCTGCCTTGGGAATCTAAGCTCCCTGGTCATTAGTCGCCCACCTCTCCTTCTGCGGTGTGTGCCTGTCTTCAGGTCCCTGTTAATTTGGGGGTACTCTGGGAATGGGGAGTGCCAGCCCATAAGACCTTCACTTTGGTCTGGGCGGTTTATGTTTTGTTTGTTCTTTCGTTTTTTTGTAAGGTGGGGTCTTGCTATGTTGCCCAGGCTGGTCTTTAACTTCCGGGCCCAAGCGATCCTCCCTTCTCCACCTCCCAGAGTGCTGGGATTACAGGGTGAGCCACTGCACCCAGCCAACATTTCATTTACTTATTCATTCAAAGTAAATTGTAGACATCGGTATTCCTCACCCTCAACATTTCTTGGTCTGGGTGGTTTCTGAGCCCTGACGGCCACCATCCCCCTCTTCCAGGTTCCATGTAAACCTGCTGTGCGGGGAGGAGCAGGGCTCCGATGCCGCCCTGCATTTCAACCCCCGGCTGGACACGTCGGAGGTGGTCTTCAACAGCAAGGAGCAAGGCTCCTGGGGCCGCGAGGAGCGCGGGCCGGGCGTTCCTTTCCAGCGCGGGCAGCCCTTCGAGGTGCTCATCATCGCGTCAGACGACGGCTTCAAGGTGCGTCTCTGCGACAGGGGCGTGGACGCCAAGACTTAGGTCCCTGGAGCAGAGGGTTGGGCAAAGCCAGGCTATTGGTGGAAGGCAGGGAGGTTCGGGGCGGGGTGAGGGGGGTAGGGAAGTCGTGGCCAAGGCGGAGAAGGGTGTCCTTCGACCCTCTCTCTCGCCTAAACAACTCCCACTTGGGTCCGAGGGACAGAGAGACAGCAGGGTCAGGACGAGGCGTGCAGCTGTCCAAGGGGTGGGCGTCCTAGCGGGAAGGCGTGGCCCAGACTCGCCATCCCAGACCCTACTCCCAGTTCATTCCTTCCTGAGGTCCGGGGTTTGAGGCATGGGGAGGGATGGGTTGGAAACAGCGCCCAGGAACTCGTCCTAGCAAGGATTGGCGGGTGGGAGTGGCGGCAGATCCTCCACCACCCACAGCTTACGCGAATTCACCTCCCTCCTCTGCGCTTTAATAGCGGGTAATGGTCGCTGAAATGAGAATATCCATTACCAGCACTAAAAAAGCCGCTTTTTACTGTGCCACACAGTCAACTCGTTTGATCCTCACGCAAGAGTTAGAATGAACAATAGCCCCATTTTCCCAGTGAGGAAACTGAGGCCCAGAGGGGATGAGTGATTTCCCCAGGGCCACCCAGCACGGGCCTCCGGAATCCTCACCACCGACCCTCCCCTGCAGGCCGTGGTTGGGGACGCCCAGTACCACCACTTCCGCCACCGCCTGCCGCTGGCGCGCGTGCGCCTGGTGGAGGTGGGCGGGGACGTGCAGCTGGACTCCGTGAGGATCTTCTGAGCAGAAGCCCAGGCGGGCCCGGGGCCTTGGCTGGCAAATAAAGCGTTAGCCCGCAGCGCGACTGTGTCTGTGTCCCATTCACTGAGATGAGCAAACTGAGACCCAGAGAGGCCAAGATACTGGCTCCGGGCCACACAGCGAATCCGAGGCGGAGGCGGGCTCTGAGCCTGCCTGTGCTTAGGACACTTTCTGTCTGCGAAGGCGTGAGGGTCGCGATCTGGGAAGGAGTGGGTGTGGGGCGTGCCCTGACGCAGCATTTGTGCAAAGCAAGCCAGGTGGGAATGCGGTCGGGCGGACCTGCTGGCGTTTGGGGCGCAGAGGCGCTCACCGCAGGTCCTGGTGCCCCCACTGCAGATCTAAGGGGCGCCAACATGGGTCCATCTGCAAAGGGGGCGAATGAGTCCCACCTTTCTGGTCATTTGTGGGCCCCAATCCTACGGGTGGAAAGCGTGTTATAAGATCCCGGGTCCCTGGGTCCCGTATCCCCCTGCAGCTCATCTCTCCCACCCTCTTCTCTCCTGGCCTCCCGCCCCTAGAGACGTCCCAGGTGGGGCTGGGAAGCCCGACGGGCGTCTCCGGGCTCCCGCTGTTCCCCGAGTCGGGACAGGTACCCGCCTGCGCACCCTCGGGGCAGACGCGATGGCAGCGGCCCCGGCTCTGCGGAACAGCTGGGAGGACTCGAAGGACGGCGTGGGTTTTCCCTGGCGCAGCGAGCCCCATTCCCACGCGCCCTCCGCTCTCCCCGACGGCCCGGACCCCGGTCCTAGCCCTGGTCACTGTGACGGGAGGGGAAGCGGACGCCAAGTGCAGTCCCGGCCCCAGTGTGACTTTCAGGGTTCAGGGCGTCGCTGGGGCTTCCCTTAATGGCGGGGTTGGGGTGGGAGAGGCTGGGAGCACTGTGCGCCTCGAGCCCCCACCCTCGGCGAGGCACCCTGCAGCGGTCGCGGGTCTCTCAACCGGGGACCGAGGAGCCAGGCCAGGGCTGCGATCGGAAGCTGCACGTGGGTGTTCGGGGCCGGCTGTTCCGGAACCTTAGTGCAGAGCCACATCTTGGTGGGCGCGCCAGGGCTTG
Organism: Homo sapiens; assembly: GCF_000001405.40. Lineage (NCBI taxonomy): Eukaryota > Metazoa > Chordata > Mammalia > Primates > Hominidae > Homo > Homo sapiens. The sequence continues at coordinate 202,448 of NW_014040929.1, forward strand.
GGTCTCGATCCCCGCCCTTGAGCCTCCGACCCCCTGGCGTCCGCCTTCCGCATTGCTGCCTGGACCAAGGCGGATGCAGGAAGCTGGGGTGGTTCCTGGCCTGGCCTGAATCTGATTCTGGAGTCAGGTGGGGACGCCAGGTTCGCTGCAGGTCCCAGGCGCATTCAGGACCCGGGGTTTTAGGCCCCTGCGACCTTCGGTCTGGGCGGTCCCTTCCCGTGTCCGGCCCTGGAGTGGGTGGGCGGTG